>NC_000012.12:43823764-43975279 GCF_000001405.40 Homo sapiens
GCCTCCCAAAGTGCTAGGCATGAGCCACTGCACTGGCCATGAGTGTAATTTAAAAAAAAAAAGCTTTGTGTGCTGATAGTGATTAAATTGAAGTACTTTCCATACCAGTTCAAATGCTAATTTCCTATTGTTTTCCTTTTTACTGTAGATAAGAAACATTTGTGCCAGCTTAATAGTTTTAACAATAGTTTGACAAATTACTTACATTAGTATACATATACATTCTCACAGCAGGAAAACAATAAAAATTTCAGCTGTCTAGCATTGATATTTTAAAAAATAATTAATTAGCTAATTAGTTAGCTAATCCATTAGCTAATATTGTGATGTAATTAAACAAAAGAGACTTGAGAAAGTTCATTACTTGAAGGAGGGGCAATTTTCTTGAATTTCTCTCACCAAGCATGTCTATCGAATTCTAATACAGAATCCAGCCTTCCACAGTCCTAGGGAGGCTCTCTGGTCAAACGAGGTGGCATTGCTTTCTCCTGAAGAAGAGTGATTTCACTAAGGCTTGAGGGACTTGCCAGGATTCATTCTGGGAGACCCAGGTGTCCAGCTAATTTGTGATTAGGAGGGAATCTATCCCTATTGGTAGAATGCAGAAGTATCAGTTTTGGTGTCAGACTTCACTTGGCCTGAGGTGAGTGCCGCTTCCAGGGTAGCAGCTCTAGTTCTCTCAAGAGGACATGAGACTTTGGCAACTATGGCTCCAGGAAATGGGCTCTAGGAGAGGATAAAACCAGCAGATAAGGTGGAGCCTGTTTCATGTGATTTTCCCAAACCATTGTCATGCTTGCTCAGGGAAACCTTGAGATCTGTGACAGGAGAGGCTAGCGTGGGGCCTTGGATGCAGGAAGGCAGCTGCTGAGCTAAGAAAGCCCTGTAGGGCCGGGCGCAGTGGCTCACGACTGTAATCCTAGCACTTTGGGAGGCCGAGGCAGGCGGATCATGAGGTCAGGAGACCACCTTGGCTAACACAGTGAAACTCTGTCTCTACTAAAAATATAAAAAATTAGCCGGGCATGGTGGCGGGTGCCTGTAGTCCCAGCTACTGGGGAGGCTGAGGCAGAATGGTGTGAACCCGGGAGGCGAAGCTTGCAGTAAGCCAAGATTGTGCCACTACACTCCAGCACCCCAGCCTGGGCGACAGAGCGAGACTCCGTCTCAAAACAAAACAAAACAAAACAAAAAGAAAACCCTGTGGTAGGGTGCACTATAGTCCCCAAATGCCTTCAGAGGCCAGGCAACCAGGTGGGGAACTTAAATGACTGAAGACCTTGTTCGGCAACTGTATGCCATTCAAGAATGTAGACCCTGTAAGGTCAGTTCTTTTGGTTTTCATGAGAAGCTAAACATTCTGTTTTTGTTTAAAGTGAAATCTACTGGTTTTTAAATATTTGCAACTCAGCTGAAGTTTTAAAGTAGTATGAGGATCAAAGAAAATAATCCACAGGAAAAATTGCCACTAGTTTACAAGGGTTGGCGTAGAAGCAGCTATTTGGAACTATGGAGGGAAGGGGGCTGGCCTACCTGCTTTTAAGGAATATTGATTTCATTAGTTTGGCTGGGTGGACCCCAAGCGCTGGATTATCCCAATATGCAGCAGGGGTTGATCCCTACTCACTTAAAAGGTGGTATGAAGTGACTGGATTCTAGGCACCACAGGGCCCTATCCATAAGCCTTTCCTGGCTACCTTCTCTCCTCATTCTCTCTATTCTCCTCAGGTGATTTTATCTTCATGTGAATGAATAAATCACAGATGCATCTGTCTGTGTTTGGTTGGCAAATCCAATGACCAGAATACTCCCTTTGACATAAAGAACGTGATTGTATTTATTATTAAATATTATGTGATTATATTATTATTAAATATTATACTATTCAAATATAGGAAGAGCAGTAACATGAATAATTCCCTTTCTATGTGTTTCTCTGAATTAAATGTGCATAAGAGTTATTTAGGAAGTTATTACAATGAAGATTATGAAACTCCACCTCAAGAGATTCTGGTTTAGTAGGTAGGGTTCTGGAATTTGTTTGTTAACACCCACCTGAGTTTACTGTAACACAGATGGTCTGGAGACCACACTTTGAGAAACACTGACTCATAATGGATGCTTATGGCTGGCACATCTCTTATTTCAGCCCTAGTTTCTTGCCTGAGTTGTATAAACAACTGCCTAATAGAAATCTCCACCATCTCTACCTGGATAACTTCTCATTGTCTGAATCCAAATGTATTATTTTCCTCCAAAGCCTGAACACAGACTTTTAAAAAAACTCCATTGAAATGCACCATCAAAGGTATATTTCTCTTGCCCAAGCCAGAAATCTACATTTGCACCTTTGGTGGGTGGATGCCAGCAATCAGGGTGCATGCAGTATGTGGCAGGCACCAGTGTGCCCACTGAGGCTTTGCCATGACTGCTCAGTGAGTCTACCTTGGCTTTCTAAGGGTAATCCAATTCTTCTGCGACAAGCCAATAATAGGAAGAGCTTTATTTATTGAGGTTTACTCTGTGCCAGGCACTCTTTTAAGTGTTTCACATGTATTAACTTAATCTTTTCTTGAAGCCACTGAATTCTCTGTCCAAGTTTTTGGCAGCTCAGTACCCCCTGAGGCTAGATCTACTCCCCATATTTCCAATTGCCAGCTGGGACTGCTGCTTCAAACAGATAATGTCATCTTTTTCCCACAATGAGACCACCCACCTAACTATAGACTTCTAGAGTTGGGGATTCCTGCTACTGTTTTCTGCTCATAATTCCAGGGATATTGGTGGCTGCCTAAATTGGAAGCTATTTAACATATCTGGCTAGCTATTGTAAATTGGGTTGCTGCCTACCTTAAAACAATAGAGTGCAGGGGTAAGAAGGAAATTCAGAGATTGTGTAGTCCAATTTCCTTACTTTATAGACTTGGAAACTGAGGCCTACAACTAAAAAGTGATTTACTAAGTGTAAGAGAGGAGTAAGAGAGCTGAGGAGGAAAGCTAGGTTTTCTCTCTTCACATCTCATGCTGGAATGCAAGCCTCATTCTAATAGAGTTGCGTGATACTGGGGATTTTTGTCTGAGTTGATCATTTCTGTATCTGCCTGCATCTAGAATAGTGCCTGGAATGCAGTGACTGTGAAGGAATACATCACAGATGCGTTAGTCTATGGTTGGTTGACGATGCAATGACCAAAATACCCTTTTGACATAGAGGACTGTGTTTATATTACTAAACATGGTTATTTGAGTTATATTCAAATATAGAAAAAAATACATTTAATCTAGTATGTGGACTACTTATTGCCTCTAGTAAGAATGCAATGGAAGAAACAGATGTAAAATAGACTTAAGTAGCAAGGAGGTCACTTAATTATTCTGCATAAATGTCACCTCAAAGGAAATCTGCCCTGACCACCCTTTCTAAAATTGTCACCCACATCCTTCTTGATGCTCTGATTCTACCTGTTTTTCTTAATAGCACGTCTCACAGTCTAACATTACATCATTATGCATTTTGTATTTACTGTCTGTTCACTCATTAGAATAAGCTGTTTGAGCCTTGAGCTTTATCTTCCTCACCACCAAGTTGGCAGAACATTGAAGTGCCTGACACAGAAGAGCTTCCTGAAAATGATGGTTTTACATTTTGGAATGGTAGCATAATTAACATGCAATACTTTGGCATTCAGAGGCCTAACATACCTCAGCAGATAGAAGCAAAATAAAAACCCAGTGCTGTACAATGCTGGAGTAAATGTGAGAGATGTAAATAACATTATTGGGGGGGATATTTACAAAAACACATTATCTTTATCATTAAGTAAATGACTTCTTTTATGTATTTTTAGACTTCTTTCATGTATTTTTACCCCATATTGAAGAAATGACTGGTATAAGTAAAATTATGACATATAGATGAGGGATAGTTGCTTATTTAAAAATGTGATGTAGTGGGCTGAATAGTGTCCTGCCCCCCACCCAAAATTCATGTCCACTTGGAACCTCAGAATGTGATCTTATTTGGAAATAGAGTCTTTGCAGGTGTAATTAGTTAAATCTCAAGAAGAAATCTTCCTGGATTTGGAGTGAGCCCTAAACCCAACAATGTGCCTTTCTAAGAGAAGATAGAGATTTGAACACACAGACACAGAAGAGAGGACGCGTGAAGATGGAGGTACAAATTGGAGTGATGCGTCTGCAAGTCAAGGAATACCAGGAACCACCAGAAGCTGCAAGAGACAAGGAAGATTCTCTTCTAGAACCTTCAGAGGGAATGTGATCCTACTGGCACAGATAATTTTACACTTCTAGTCCCTAGAACTGTGAGAAAATACATTTCTGTTTTCTTAAACCACCAAGTTTGTGGTAATTTGTTACGGCAGCCTGGAAAATGAATACAGTGAGGATAGGAGATATATGCTAACTTGAGAAAAAGAGGATATGGGAATTGTACCTTAGTCTACAATATTTTGAAGTATTATTATAATACCTAAAGCATATGAGTGCTCACTATGAGCAGATAATGTACTCTGTGAGATTCAGCTCTTTAATGGCATCCTAAAACTCAGAAGAATAGGCCAGCCAGGCCTCAGGGCTCAGCAGCTATGATGCAGGAAGGGCCTCAGACATGTCTCAGGTAGCTCATTGGAAGAAGGCATTCCAGCCCCCCTACCTTATTCCTTCACATGAAATACTAGGGGTAGGGGGTTGCTCCCCTTAACCCTTGAGAGGCAGAGAGACCAGCCCTTCCGGTCCATGGGGAGAGGATGGCTCTTACTGTTTTTCATTTCATGGCAACTGGTACTTATAACCCTTGTCATGAAACAAAGAAATAATTTTTGTTTCTTATTATTTAAAATTCCTGGTGCCAATTATTTCCCTTGACTTCCATTTTATCCTCCTCTATTCTGAGTCCCTGCCCCCATCCCCTTACCGATAAAATGGCTGGACCTGAGAAGTCCATTCTCAACAATCTGTTTTTTCCTACTACTACAAATGATATATTTCACTATCCCCCATGAGTCCCTGCTCTTGTGAATGGACCACAACATTCTGGCTCCTTCTGGCTTTTTTTCTTCGTCTTTCCCTCCTTTCTTTCCTACCCTTTTTGCTGTCTTTCTCCCCTGCTTCAGCACTTGTTAATTGAGAGCCTTTGGGTAATTAGAGCGTTGGGCATTGGGATTTTTTATTTTTGTTTTTTAAAGAGACAGGACCTTGTTATTTTGTTGCCCAGGTTGGTCTCGAACTTCTGAGCTCAAGCCTTCCTCCTGCCTCAGCCTCCTAAGTAGCTGGGACTATAAGGGCATGCTACTGTACCCAGCTATCATTACTGTTTCTGTGCTGCTCCTCATTGCCTGGAATTTCTTTCTTCCCCCATTACTGTGTATCTAAATTCTCCTTATCCTTCAATGTTTGCTTCAAACTTCTTCTGTCTGGCTTTCTACAGCAATTCTTAGGGATAGTTTTATTTTCCCGTTTCAGATTTCTGTAGCCTTTATGGTCAGTACAATGCATTTAGCCCCGATCATCTGTAACCTTGCATTACTATTTATGGTGATTATAAGCCATCTATTGTCTGCTCATTTAGATGATGAGTACCCTAAGGAAATAGACACAATGTATTTATATTAGAAACCTCAACATTTTCAAGTGCTTGATAGACTAGTTGCTTGGAGATGTTCATTGATTGGGTGGTGTATTTGGTACTTTACATGAAGTCAAGAGCTCTCGAAAGCCAGTACATTATTCTGTTCCCCCAGATTAAGCCTCCCTTCTACCTTGGGTTAGGTCTATCAAACTTGTCTGAGGTCTGTTTTGAAGAAAAAAAGTTTTGAAGAAAGAAAAAGATCATTTGTTTTTGAACCACGAAGAAAGGGAACGTCAGCTCAAAACTCCCCAAAGGCAAATTTGCCATTTAAAACCAGCAGTCACATTCCTGTTTATGAGGTCATCTAAGCACTGCACACTGGAAGTGGGAGCCTCTGTGTATGTGGGAGTGAGCATGGGGCAGAGGAGAAAGCAAGAGGCAGTAAAAGGAACTGTAGGCCGGGAGCAGTGGCTCACGCCTGTAATCCCAGCACTTTGGGAGACTGAGGCAGGTGGCTCACGAGGTCAGGAGTTTGAGACCAGCCTGACCAACATGGTGAAACCCCGTCTCTACCAAAAATACAAAAATTAGCTGGGCGTGGTGGTGCGTGCCGATAGTCCCAGCTACTCTGGAGGCTGAGGCAGGAGATGTGCTTGAACCCGGGAGGCGGACGTTGCAGTGAGGCGAGATTGCGCCACTGCACTCCAGCCTGGGTGACAGAGCGAGACTCTGTCTCAAAAAAAAAAAAAAAAAAAGGAACTGTAGGGGGACAGGCAGCAGCACAATTGCCCCTCTCTGTCAAGGTAATAGCCCTGTGAAGAAACTGCTGCATTTATATAGATTCTGCAGGACAGCCCTGTGTATGAATCAGGAGTGATGCTGACCACCCCACCACGCAAGTAACAGCTGTATTTCTGGTGTGACTGCTAGCCCACCCTCTGTTTGCATGACTCCTTTGCTTTGAAAACTGTTTAGAGCCAGGCGTGGTGGATCATGCCTGTAATCCCAGCACTTTGGGAGGCCGAGGCAGGTGGATCACGAGGTCAGGAGTTCAAGACCAGCCTGACTAACATGGTGAAACCCCGTCTCTACTAAAAATACAAAAAAAATTAGCCAGGCGTGGTGGTGCACGCCTGTAATCGCAGCTACTCAGGAGGCTGAGGTAGGAGAATCGCTTGAACCCAGGAGGCAGAGGTTGCAGTGAGCCGAGATCATGCCACTGCACTCCAGCCTGGGCAACAGAGCAAGACACTTGTCTCAAAAAAAAAAAAAAAAAAGAAAACTGTTTAGAAAAGTACCTTTGCCCAGCCATTTATAGGGTTAAGCCAAGGCTAGGTGAACCAGTTCTTTTAGTAAAAAACTCTGTGGGACATGAAGAATATAAGCAGGGCAGGGGTGAAATGAATAATAATGATGATAAAAAGAGCCAACATTTATGGAAAATTTAATACATACCAGACCAAATGCTAAAAGTGTAACATTCATTTTTTAATCCCTCTAAGACATGCAAAGCAGCTACTTCTAAAGTACAAAGAGGTTAATTAATTTGCTTGATATCATATTGCTACTAGTTGGCATCATGGGGATTTCAGAGCACGGGTTCTAGTATTCCAAGCAACATACATGTGATGGCCATCTTTTCACAAGCAAAATTCAGGATATGGGGCTTAAAATATATCAGCATGCATTGGGCTCAATGAGAATGAACACTTGAAATTAGGATTGTTGAGGAAAATCCTAGCAGTAGAGTCATTGCCCTTAGAAAATTGCCAAAGAAAATTATGGATCATAATTTGTCTGTGTTTGGTTGGCAATTTCTATTCTTGCCTCTTTGGCAATAAGGAAATTATGCTGTTTATATTCAGAGTATGTAATTAGCATCATCCCGACTGACCTATTGGAAGTTAAAAATAGTTTTGCTCAGAGTCCATCTAATCACTGACAAAAGCATTTCCCGATTGACTTGGTAGAGGTTACTGATGATTACACCTATACTTTCCCCTGGCTTTCAAAATGCCATTTAGAGAGGATAAATTGGTTCATAATGAAAGCTCTCACCAATTTTTGAAATGTACATTGAGCATTGATCTTGTCTTTTTCTTTTTTTTTTTTAATAAAGACTGAAATGTATTATTGAGGTACTGGGACATGTGAGGTGAACGGAAAAACATCATGTCTCATGTGGTTACTTCTGATTTTTTTTTTTTTTTTAGACCAAGTCTCACTCTGTCACCCAGGCTGGAGTGCAGTGGCGCAATCTTGGCTCACTGCAACCTCCACCTCCCAGGTTCAAGTGATTCTTCTGCCTCAGCCTTTCAAGTAGCTGGGACTATAGGTGCGCACCACCACTCCTGGCTAATTTTTGTATTTTTGGTAGAGATGGGGTTTCACCATATTGGCCAGGCTGGTCTTGAACTCCTGACCTTGTGATCTGCCCACCTCAGCTTTTTCAAAGTGCTGGCATTACAGGAGTGAGCCACCGTGCCCGGCCTTACTTCTTTCTGTTTTTTTAACTCTTGGATCAGATTTTACAAAGGAATGATATGTAAACAACACACATTTTAAGCCTATTTGCAGGGTTGACTTCAGATGTGGAGGTGGAGTAGGCAGATGATTGACTAGTGTGATCTGAGAGTTTTGAAAAACTATTTCTATTGTTACCCTGACACTCTGAAACTGTGGCCAATTGGCTAAACTCCTGCATATAAAAGAAATGGAGTTGTTTGGGCTAAAATATGGAGGAAAGAGTGGGAGATTTATGCCCTACTATCTTGGTTTCTTTTTGGAACTTCTATCTGTACCCTTTGAAAATCATTGCTGGCCAACACTGAAGAAGTGGTTAACTCTGCGTGAGTAAGCAATCACCACCTGGCTACTGGGCCAATTGATTTTGACCTAGAGGAAAGTTTTCATAGAACGGTAATGTTTGATAGGAAGGAAGAATGGCCTTTACTGACTACCTATTACATGGCAGACACTACAGGTGTTTTATAGATGTTGGTCATTTAAAACCCCTAATAGGTCTGTGTGGTAGTGATTGGGATGGAAGGAGACTGAAGAATAGGAAGAACAGTAGCTGAAATCCTGAGTGAGATCTCTCTGTGAACAGATTTCAGTGACCTACTTTGAGCTCCTAAGTCCACATCCGGATCTAACATCTCACCACTTCAGTGGTGAAGAAGGAAGATCTGGGGATTCCTATTGTAATTTTTCAGTAGCAATTTGTATAACTTTATAGCGAGTAAGCAGTGGAGCCAGAATTTATACCAATATTCATTATATCAGGTCTCCTAACCATAAAAGCCACATCTCTTTCCTCTTATATGGGGAGGAAGTATTATGTAAGATGAGAGGTTAAAACGTGGGCTGACAAGCCACATTGCCTGGTTTCTGATCCTTACTCTACCACTATGGCTACTTGTGAGATCTTGAATGAACTACTCAATCTCAGTATGCCTGTCTCCTCAAAGGTAAATGTAGAGAGGGATACTCCGTGTTTAGCAGCTATCTCACAGGTCTTTAATACATGTAATGAGCTTGGTATACAATAAGCCTTCAATAAGTTGAGCTTTTGTCACTAATTGTTATTGTGATCAAACTGAGAGGCTATTCCTCTGTCCAGTTCTGAAACAGGGCTGAGCTGGAGATCATGGCTGGCTACCAAGGCAAAGGGCACAGGCTTCTTGGTCAGTGGTTAAAAAGGGAACATTGATGCTGAAAACAAGCCTTGCCCATTTCAGTATTTTGCCTTGAAGTGGTCCTAGAGAACTACACTCTCTAAGCCCTGAGGTTTCTCAACAATAAATAGTAAGCATTGGTAGAGCTTATTCTTAAAATTATTATTATATGAAGAGAGATCTAAAGGTCTAAAGGTAGGCTAACAAGTTCCATGTAAGTGATGCCAGACATTTCGGTTCTGATGAACTGAAGTTGATTTTAGTAGACACTCATGTAGTTCAATTGATTATGGAGTGGATTGAGTTCTATTTCTTAAGGAGACAGAAGACAAGCTGCTGAATGATTTTTATCCCACTATCCCCTGAAATACAATATATTTTTCAGCCTCTTTCTCAATGAAAAGGAAAGTGCCTCCTCTTTTCCTTTATTTTCCCTTATTTTATTTTGTCTGGAGGTGACAGGGGGTTACAAATTACAGACCTCAACTGAGTGCTGTGGCTCACCCTGAAATCCCAGCACTTTGGGAGGCCGAGGCTGAAGGATGGTTTGAGGCCAGGAGTTCACAATCAGGTGGGCAACGTAGACCCTGTCTCTACAGAATTAAAAAAAATTAGCTAGGTGTGGTGGTGTGCACCTGTGGTCCCAGCTACTTGGGAGGGTGAGTCAGCAGGATTGCTTGAGCCCAGGAGTTTGAAGTTGCAATGAGCTGTGATTGCACCACTGCACGCCAGCCTGGGTGACAGAGCAAGACTCTGTCTCTTTAAAAAAGAAAAAAAAAATAGGCTGGGCATGGTGGCTCACACCTGTAACCTCAGCACTTTGAGAGGATGAGGTGGGCAGATCACTTGAGCTCAGGAGTTTGAGACCAGCCTGGACAATGTGGCAAAACCCTGTCTCTACAAAAAATACAAAAATTAGCCAGGTGTGGTGGTGTGTGCCTGTTGTCCCATCTACTCTGGAGGCTGAGGTGGGAGGATCACTTGAGCCCAGCAGGTCAAGGCTGCAGTAGGCTATAATTGTGCCACTGCACTCCAGCCTGGGGTACAGAGTGAGACTCTGTCTCAAAGAAAATAGTAGTAATAAAAGAAATAAATTACAGACCTCAGTATTCTGTATAATTTGTGAAGCTTTACTATTTTTCAGTTTTAACTGACTGAAGAGTCCTTGCTTTAAATGGAGATACAAGGAAAATATAGCATATGGAACCTTTGTTAAACAGTTACCCACGTGTAACAGTTTAAAAATTCTTTAGAGAATAATATTAATTACAGTTATAAAAGCACAGTGGAATATAATGACTAATATGTGGAATTAATCCACTATCTATGAGCCATTACTATAACTTACTATGTTAGGTACTAAGGATACAATCATGAGTAAGATTTAATCTCTGCCCTTGAAGAGTTCATAGCGTAGTGGGAGAAAAAAGAAGTTGCAAAAAAGAACAACAAAAGTGTAATAGTAAAATGTACCAAGTGCTAGCATAGGCAACAACTCTTTCTGGCAAAACTTGTTAAAGCATTACAAAAGAGAACCTTACTAGTTAAGAGTTCTGTAAAATGATCACAAATGATTGACTACTATATATCCAGTGGTGTGGGGATGTGGGGGTTCTATTTCTTAAGAAGACAGAAGACAAGCTGCTGAATGACATTTCGGTTCTGATGAACTGAAGCTCATTTTAGTAGACACCCATGTAGTTCAATTGATTATGCAGTGGATTGAGTTCACTCTCATATATATGAGAGGCATATTTATATATATCCATATATACGTGGTCATTTTTGGAAGCTAGAAAAATGTCAAATTAGTGGGAAGTATGGCAGTGAATTCCCAATTATGCCTATGCAGATAAACTACCCTATGGCACTTGGGCATGGCTCTCTCCATCCCATCTTAAAATCCGCGGACATCTCAGTTCTCCCTCTTGCCATCCACCCATTCCTGAATCAGGCTACCAGTACAGGGGAGGGCCTAGCTCTGCCTTCATAAGTTTGCTAATATGGGCATATAGAAATCCTATTTTCCATTTGATTATATACACTAGTGATAACTTCCATTACCACAAAATATTAGCATGCTGGATAGCAGCTGTTAACACGTTTTCAGCAACCGGTAAACTGAGGTAGCAGTTGCTATTAGGTGTGGAAGGAAACAGAGGCCACACATACATGATGGAAAGGAGGTTACATTCAGGAAGAGAGGAATTGGTCAGATGTAGTCAAAGGGTCTTCCTGCCCTATGCCGCAGAGGTATCATTTAGGTATCATAGAATGACAGGCTCCGGAGAGCCTCAGACTGCAAAAACTTTAAAAATTGTACATGAGTATGTGTGCTGATGTACATATGTGTGTATGCATGTGTATACGTGTGCTTATGTGTGTATACATATGTATGCATGAGTGTATTTGTGCATCTCTATGTGTGTATGAATGTGTGTATGTGTGCATATGTGTGTGTGTGTGTGTGATACCAGGCAGGTTGGAAAGTAAGTGGAAGACTTCTCATACTCCTCATGGGCTCTGCCTCTCCCCACCCCCACATCCCCACACCACCAACAGACAAAAACAGAAATCATGTTTTGCGACCTGAGATTGCTTTCGAAAGTTTGTAGCTCTTCGAGGACATTCCAGTGGGACCCTCATTGGTTCCCTGCAGGATGGTGGATTTTCTGTCAGCCGCCCCCCAACCCCCACCAGGTTCCTGAGTCCGTCCCTCGCCTGCAGCTGCCGCTCTGCAGAGGCGGGCCGGCCCGGGCAGGCTCGGCCCGTGGCGCACGCGGCCCGCGGGCTGGAGTCAGCCCGTGGTGCGGGCGAGAGGGCAGGGGCGGGGAGAAGCCATGCCTCCAGCTGCAGAGGTTGCACACAGCTGGCATGATCGCGGTCACCTGCGCGGCGCCGGTGCCCTTGCGCTCGCGTTGCCCGGCCCGCGGCCGCGGACTTTGCGGCGGGAGCGCGGCGCGGTGAAGCACCGGCGCGGAGGGCGCCCGGCGTAGGCGGCGGCGGGTGTGGGCCGAGCCGGTATTTATAGCTCCGTGACAGCAGCAGCGGCAGCGACGCCGCCGGCCCGTCTCGCCGCGCTTCCCAGCGAGGCCGCCGGCGCGCCGAGGGCTGTGCTCGACCGCGAATCCCGTGTGCAGTCGCCCCGCGCCCCGCGCGACCCTTCGGGTGAGTACGTGGGCCCGGGCGTTGGGCGAGCCTCCCCAGCCGTTCGGTCCAGCCGCAGCGGAGCCCTCCCGGCCCTGCCGCCCGTGTCCCGGCTGCCACCTCGTCACTGCCCGCGAGTGCGGAAGCAGCCGCGGAACCCCGGCCCGGCCCCCGAATTCTCCGGCGCCTCTGCTCCTGCCTTCCTGGGGATGGCAGCCAAAGAGGCAGGGTGAAGTGTCAAGGAGGGAGGGGGGACGCGCCAGCCCTCTGGCTAAGGGCAGAGGAGACTCCCGGGCGAAAGGCTCTTGGTGGGAGTCCTCAAACTCCCGGCTCCAGTGTGTGTGCAGAGATACGGCGGGAGAGCAGACCTTGAACTTTCCTTGCTTCAGCGATTCCTAGCCTAGGAACTGAGTAAAAGCCCTATTTTTCTTAATTAAATTAACAGGTTGCAGTTCGTAGGTGTTGTTCTTGGGAAAAAAACAAAGACTTGGGTGTTTGGGTGTTTGCTAACTTCATCGTGACTAAATAAAACTATTTTTTTTCATTCCTATTTTTGAAAATGCCACAGGCCCACAAGTGTGTTCTACCCTCTGTGGAACAATGAAGTATGTGTATGTGTGTGTGGGTGTGCGTGTGTGAGAGAGAGAGAGACACGGGAGTAAACATCACATGCTTATCAGGAACCAAAAAGGAAAAAAAATGAGTAAAAGTATGTTGAATATAAGGGTATGTATTGCCCCCAATTATAAATGATGTATTGTCTGAAATCCAAGGAAGGACTTCTAGGAAGCTACAGGGTTTTGTTTTGGCTTCAGAAACAAGGTCTTCCAATTTATTGAATATAAAAGTAGTTGAATCCCTGTAAACCCCATTTTTTTTTGTAAAGTATTGACATTTGACCATGGATATACTTTCTTTTATCCCCCAAGTCTTTATAGTTTAAAAGTAATTATGGATTTTGACATTTTGTCTCAGGCATTTATCCCTCCTATTCCACCCTCCATCTGATCCGTGTGATGAGAAACTGGCTCTTGTCAGTTTTATCTAAGTTTCTTTAAGCTGTCATTAAAAAATAAACTTTTCACATGAATTCTATTTAATTCATTAAATGTGTTTTTCTTTGGCATTGTGTTTGGAATATGATCATGGCAATTTCTTTTCTTTTCTTTAATTTCTGTCTTTCTTTCTTTCATGGAGTCGGGCTCTGTCGCTCAGGCTGGAGTGCAGTGCCATGATTTCCAGCTCACTGCAACCTCCGCCTCCCGGGTTCAAGGGATTCTCCTGCCTCGGCCTCCTGAGTAGCTGGGATTACAGGCGCGCGCCACCATGCCTGGCTAATTTTTGTATTTTTAGTAGAGATGGGGTTTCACCATGTTGGTCAGGCTGGTCTCGAACTCTTGACTTCGTGATCCGCCCGCCTTGGCCTCCAGAAATGCGGACATTACAGGTGTGAGCCACTGCTCCGGGCTGGCAATTCCTTATTGCAAACAAATCACTGAAAAGGAGGTCTAAACATTTTTAAAGGATATAGTAGTGATTATATTTTAATTTTATAATGTGCTCCGGCTCATAAATATTTTGCCATTTCAATGGAGAGTTTTCTCTGTTCAGAGGACCCCTAGACCTACTTTGCTTTTGGAGTTGCTGTTTTAAAAACTTGCATTGATTAAGCAATTTGTTTACCCAAGGACTGCAGGATAGGAACAAGGGAAGAAAAATCACTTAAAGGTTGAGACAATGTGAAGAGAAAATCTAGGAAGTGATTTATAGATGTAAACCTCTAAATTAGCTAAGGTACCACAAATATTATCCTGGAATCTATCAGAACCACTTATGGTGGTTTTATTGATTGACTTAAAAGGTTGCTTTTTATTTAAAAGCCCCTGTGGTCTTTTGTATTAGACTAAAAGTAAGAAGTTCTAACTTTATTTCTGTTATTATTGCTATTTGTGTTTTTTTTTTAACCTGTATTAGGCACTTGCATTATGTAAAATGCTATGTATAATCTTTTCCTGCCTTTTTATCTAACAATTTAAGATAATGTACTCAGACCTGTCATTACCTCAGGACTGGTCTGTGTGTATGTGTACATATGTGTGTGTGTGAGACCAGGTAGGTTGGAAAGTAAGTATAAGACTTTTCATACCCCTTGTGGGCTCTGCCTCTCCCCACCCCCACATCCCCATACCACTAATAGACAAAAACAGAAATGATGTTTTGCCACCTGAGATTGCTTTTGAAAGTTTGTAGCTCTTTGAGGACATTCCATATATTTGGTTTTTCACCTTTCTTCCATTTATCCTTTTGCAGATTTGGATATGTATTATCCAGACTCTACTCTCTCTGGAATGGAGTCTTCCAGTTTTTTTTTTTTTTTTTTCCCTCACCCAGGCTGGTCTGTTACGTGTTATCCATACATCTGTTTATTCATTTATTCATCCATCAGCAAATATCTATAGAGGGCCTACTAGATTCAAGTCATCACTTAGTACTTACTCTTACTTCCTTCCCATTGGAATTTTATTCTGTGTTTTATACTTCACACAATGGTAACTAAGAGTAATAACTTTGGGGTTATATAGAGGTAGTCGTGCCTGTTTCTGTCAGCTGGTAGCTTTATGACCCTGGACAGATCATAACCTCTCTGAATTTCTGTTTCTTCACTGGTAAATCCAAATGGCAGGTATCAGGAATAATTGAGAGAATACATGGATAGTGATTTCCAAGAGCCCAACCCCTAAAAGCACTAAAAAGTGTTAATTACAAGTTTGCTGTCTATATCTACTGCATCCCTCTTCATCTCAGGAAATGCATTTTCCATCTCAGGAAATGCATTTTCTATCTCAGGAAATGGCAGTTCCATTCTGGATTTTGCCTAGGTCACATCTACATCCAATGTATTAGTAAATTTTATTAGTTATTTTTGAATGTGTCCAGAACCAGAGTTGTTTAAACTGCCTTAATTTCTCTCTGCTTGGTCCAAGTTGCTGCATCTTTGGCAACGGCTTCCTCAGTAGCTTCCCTGCTTCTGTTCCTTGCCCTCCTTTCTTACAAAATATTTTCAACCAGGAAACAGACAGGCCTTTCTGTCATATAAGTCAGATTGTGTCCCTCCTCTGCTTCCTGTCCCACTCAGGGTGAAAGCCCACATACGAGGGCTTCAAGGCCTGCTCATGATCAGATGCTACCTTCTGTACCTAATCTCTTTCATACTCCCCTGCACCTGCTCCCCATCCAGTCATACTGCCCTCCTTAACGATCCTTAATTTGCTCTAAATGTGCACCCAACAATGGCCTTTCCAAGTTTTGTTCCCTCTATCTGGATCACACTTTCCCTAGATAGCTGCTGTCTTCTCTCCCTTCTTTCATGCCTGTCTTCTAATGTCACCTTATAATGAGGTCTTCAACTTCCCTCACACCTGACACTCCCTGTTAACTTTTCCTTGCTTTAATTTTCTCTTTGAACTTTCTTAAATACTGTGTTTAGTTTTTATCTGTTTAATATCTGTTTCCCTCAAAGAAACTATCAGATGCATGGCAACAGGACTTTGTCTGGTAGTTACCCTAGCACATAGGCCAGTGCCTGGCAAAAAATAGGCAACTGGTAAATGTTGAACAAATGAATGAATGAATGTTATTATGGAATTAACAAATCTGTACATCATCACTTTTATATGATGATCAGCACTCTTTTGCTCTGAAACTTTTGATAATTCTCTATTTTCAGTAAAATACAGACCAACACTTTTGGATAATCTTTGTTGGACTGGCTCCAAATTATCCTTAACTCTCACAGGATAACCCCAAGCACCCAGTGTTCCAGCCACACAGAACTAGTGATACATCTCTACATCAGCCCCAGGCGGTTTCCTTTGTGCCTTTGCACAAAATAGAAGTACTGTGATTTTTTTTTTTAATATCAGATGGCTTTATTTTTCTAACTAACGTAAAGGGTAAGATTTTAGAATTTATGTCCTTGTGTGTGGAAGGCATTGCATGGAGTGTTGAAGCCAGGTGGCTTGGATTTAAATTGTGGCTCTGATATAAATTAATTTTGTTATTCTTTACAAGGTACGGAACTCTAAGTCTCTGTTGCAATATTTGTAAAATGAGGAAAATAATATTTTCTTCATTGGGTTGCTATGAAATTTAAGAGATGCTTGTAAAGCTCATCAGCATAGTATCTGGTATATAGTATGTGCTTAATAAATGTTAGCCTTAGAAATATTAATTTAACACCTCGTGCTGAAATGAGAGGGAGTTGAGGGGGGGTGCATTAGTATTGTTACTGGCCACGTCATCAATGCAGTCCTTGGACTCCACTGCTTCTCTTCGCTTTGTTTGCCTTAGCGGAAGTTGAATGGCAGGTTGCTCCACCTTCTCATCTCACCTAAACAATGAGGGAGCTTCTCTTTGTGAGTGTACCACTCAGCTCATCCAGTAGATGCCTACTGATCACCCAGTATGAGCCCAGTATTGTGCTGTGCCCTGGCAGTAAACAGCCACTTCTCTGAGGAGCTTATGATCAAGTGAGGGAGACAAACACATACATAGATAATTTCACTATAGTGAGCCAGGAGCTAAGATAAAAGCTCATTCTCATCTGTGGTTATAGAAATGAATTTTTAAAAATGGAAAGGTTTTGCAGACTATGTGCCCTGTGTAACATAGTCCATTTGAACAGCCTCAAGCCTGCATTTAAATTAACAGTAGATACACCAAATGATCATACTGATTGTAAAGATGTTTTATGTGCACTACAGAGGTGAAAACAGTTTTGGTTCTCTGGATAATATTGGGGTACCTAAGGAACTAGAAAGTAGGGCTGAGAGGACTAGGCAAACATTTGCAGCCTGTGTACGAAGTCATGAAGTGAGGATAAGCAGAGGTTTAATTCAAATTATTATGTAAGGGTTTGAAATTTGGGACCCTCTAGAAGATATCACTTCAACTTCAGAATTATGAGGCAAGAATAAATTCCAGCCAGCTTAAATGATCAATAATGGAGTCCTGTTTTGTTCTGCTAGTTGAAATTGTTAGTGGAAATAAAGAATGAGCTGTAAGCATGATGGGAAATATCTTACTGGAAGAAACACTTCCAGCTTTGTGGTATATTAGAAAGATTAAGGGCTAGGTGTAAGTCTGGATTCAAATCCTGATGTTTCCACTTGTTATATAAATTAAACAGGCAGCAACTGCTCTGAGCCTTTGTTTTCTTCCCTGTAATGTGGCAGTGATAGTAGCATTCATGGCATTACTGTGGTAATTAAATAAGATCATGTACTAGTGCAGGATTATTGCTCAATGCTATAGTTCTCTTCCCTAAATAATATAAATGCTGGAGAGAAACAGCTGTCTCAGAAATTTTTTGAATGTTCTAATTTAACTTGAGCATGTGGACATTACATAGCCCACGAAGCAAGTTTCCGAACTTAAAAACAACAAGAAAATAAGTATGTGCTAGCCTCCAAAATGCGTGTATTTAAAAAAAGAGTCAAGATTATATGTATTGGAATTGATCTGGCCGTCTGCAGGAAATGGTGATCAGGCCCTGGAGTCAGCCTCAGAGGCTCAGATCACAGCTCTTCTGAGAGGTGACTTTGGGCCAGTTACAAAGTCCATGTGAGCCTCAGTTTCCTCTCTGTAAAATGAAGTGATAGGAATGATAATAATGGTATTTCAGTAGTATTTCTAAATCCTACTGCCTTAATTCTGTGTGTTCATGGTGGGAGGGGAGGTGGTGATAGCAACCATATCAGAATTCTTCACTGGCGAAAGAAGCAACAGCAGCCTGTAATAACAGCTTCTTAAATAATACTCCTTTCTAGTTCTGATGGGCATATGGGAACTATTTCTTTTTCATGACTCACTGGTGACCAGTGATGAATTTTTTTTGTAGTGGTGGTCTGTGGACACTTCCAAAACTGTTGTGTGAAATCGAGTTCAAAACCAACCTATTCTGGCATTCTTACACATTGAATATCATGAAAACACATAAAAGTTCATTTTTTTTGTTCTTCACTACTTGCTCTGCTCTCTTTGATGTGAGAGTCACACATATAAGTTTCTGCTGCTATAGCAGGTGATGAGCCTCATACTGAAAAATATGAAAACAAAAACAAGACTCTTGAGGTAGTCACCATTCCTAGGTGGTCCAAGCTACAGCCCCTGGGGACAGATTTCAGAGTGTTCACAAAGATAACAAGGGACTTAAAATTGCTTAGAAGGCTTATGAATCCAGGGCACAGTCACTATTTGCTTGGCTGAATTCTATTGCCAATGTTTATATTGCCAATGTTTATATTGCTTTTGTAAAATAGTCATGACAAGTCCTCATTAACTAAGATTGTGGGTTGAATTGGCATTCGTCAGCCCAGAATATTGGATTGGGACTCAGGAGCCTTGGAGGCTATCTCAGATCTTCCATTGACTTACTTCAGGCTTGTGGCATGGTCTTTGTGATTTCAGTCATGTATAAAGTGAGAATATTTATTAATGGATACTCCCCCCACCAAGTGTTCAGGGTTTATAAAGGATTCTTTCTCAACACACACACACACACACACGTGCACGCACACACACAATTTTTTTTTATGCATTAGAAGTAGATATATTACAGAGTTATTATAATTGTGTCTGGAGAAGAACATGTCTCCAGAAGACATTTAAGGGATGGCATCCCTGGGACTGGGACCTGGGCCTGCTCTCTAGGCAAGGAAGGTGCAAGGAGTTGATCTGGCTGTCTGCAGAGAATGGTGATCAGCACCTGGAGTCAGCCTCAGAGATTCAGATCAGAGCTCTCCTGCTAGGTGACTTTGGGCAAGTTACAAAATCTGTGTCAGCCCCAATTTCCACCCTGTAAAATGAAGTGACAGGAATGATAATAACAGTATTTCAGGGGGTTGTTATGACAAAAATGATACAATGATACACGCAGACATCCAGCACAGAGCCTGGCATGCAAACTGCTGTAGGCTTTGTAAAGGACCCTCTTCCCCCTCTTCCCCCTCTTCCCTTTCTGAATTCTAACTAAACTGGGAGAGAAGAAAAATGAATTGGCAGATGGCAGTCAAATTTTTGTCTGTATTATTTTTGATATCTAAGATTTAATCAGTGTTATTGCTGAAAAACAGACATAGTTTAGTCTGAGAGCCAAATGGGCTCACAAAGTCCAAACCCCAGAATTAGATAGACATAATCATCCACTTACAAGCCCTGGTGGACCCAGACAGATCTCTTCATGTGGAAGTTACAGCTTGTGTTCTTTATGGGCAGGCCGGTTCCCAAAGAGGGGAGAAGGAGGAGCTAAGCAAGACTTTGGAGGTGGGCCTGAACATTTTCATTTTAAGACAGCTATGTACTTCCAGTGCACATATTCAGGTTAGGACCTACTACTGTGGGCATATTACATATTTTGCAGTGCTCTGTGCCTTTGGATGTGCCGTAGCCACTGCCTAGAGTGGCTTGCCTTCTATCTGTCCCTTCTTCACTAGTAAAAAAATTCTACTAATCCTCCAACCTTAAACTTGGGGATATCCTTTGTGAAATCTTCCTCTTTATTCTCATTCACCCAATGCAAAGTTGCCCAGTCCTTTCTGTGGGCTACTACTCTACTGTAGACTTAGCTATTTCATAGAACTTACTCTCTATTGAAATTATTTGATAACTAGGCTGTGAACATTTTAATAAAAGTTTATTCACCTGTATACATTTGTCAATGTTTAGAAGAAGATCTGAAAGTAATTACACCAAATTCATAAGCAATCATAACTCTGAGGAGAGGGATTTGGGCAGAGGAGAGAATATTGTTTAACTTTTGTTAATATATGCTCATTTTACCTCTATATTGTTTTGATTTTGTAATAATCAAAAAGAGGAGGCCGAGTATGGTGGCTCACACCTGTAATCCCAGCACTTTGGGAACTTTAGGTGGGCAGATCATTTGAGCCCAGAAGCTCAAGACCAACATGGAGAAACCCTGTCTCTACAGAAAATACAAAAGTTAACCAGGCGTGGTGGCACATGCCTGTGGCCACAGCTACTGGGGAGGCTGAGGTGGGAGGATCACTTGAGCCCAGGAGGTGGAGGCTGCAATGAGCCATGGTTGTGCCACCTCTGCATTTCCGCCTGGGAGGGCCTCTACATGTCATCTTGGTCACCATCCCAATTTTGGACAGTGTTCTGCCCTCTCACATCCCATTGTCTCCCCATACTCTTTCATTGTTTTTCTTTCCTAAGTCCCCAGATGATCAGAGGTATGATTAGATGTTAGGGAAGGGACAGTATTCGCTTTCCTCATTCTCAGACTTGTCTTGGAGCCATGAGTAGGAACAGGTATCATCTTTTCCAAATACATTTTTATGGAACTGTTATAAACCTGAACTGATAAAAAGAAGAAAGCCATTACTTGTTTTCCTCCTCTAACCCTATCTATCTTTTCTTATACAGGTAAACTACGAACTGGGAGTTCTGAAGAATGGGTAAAGACTTTCGTTACTATTTCCAGCATCCCTGGTCTCGCATGATTGTGGCTTACTTGGTGATCTTCTTTAACTTCTTAATATTTGCGGAGGACCCAGTTTCTCATAGCCAAACAGAAGCCAATGTTATTGTTGTTGGAAACTGTTTTTCATTTGTTACAAATAAATACCCTAGAGGAGTTGGCTGGAGGATTTTGAAGGTGCTTCTATGGCTACTTGCCATTCTCACAGGACTAATAGCTGGCAAATTTCTGTTCCATCAGCGTTTGTTTGGTAAGTACCATGACCCATGAAATGTAATATCACTAATTATTTAATTTCTATTCTCCAAGATACAACTTTGCTATTTCTAAGTGCCAATGTAGGAGGCATTTTAGTTTGTCCTCCTGCCTTAAGTTGTTATGCATGGTTGTAACTGGGTTCTTCAACTACTCTCTGTTAATGGTTTACTTTTCCTACTGTCTAAGGAAAATTAGCACGAGGTAAAATTAGTACCAAACTTCATTAAAAAAAAATAGCATTAGGCCAGGTGTGGTGGCTCACGCCAGTAATCCCACCAATTTGGGAGGCCAAGGTGGGCAGATCACTTGAGGTCAGAAGTTTGAGATCAGCCTGGCGAACATGGTGAAACCTCATCTCTACTAAAAATACAAAAAATAGCCAGGCGTGGTGGCACATGTTTGTAATCCCAGCTACTTGAGAGGCTGAGGTGGGAGAATCGCTTGAACCTGGGAGGCGGAGGTTGCAGTGAGCCAAGATTGCACCGCTGCACTACAGCCTGGGTGACACAGCGCGACTCCATCTCAAAAAAAAAAAAAAAAAAAAAAAGAGCATTAGAGATAAAATGAATATATACCTAGTCATTTTTTAAAAACTTTTTTTATTTTTAAAATTTTTTTTATTATACTTTAAGTTCTAGGGTACAGGTGCACAATGTGCAGGTTTGTTACATAGGTATACATGTGCCATGTTGGTTTGCTGCACCCGTTAACTCAACATTTACATTAGGTATTTCTCCTAATGCTATCCCTCCCCCCTCCCCCAACCCCATGACAGGGCCTGGGGTATGATGTTCCCCACCCTGTGTCCAAGTGTTGTCATTGTTCAGCTCCCACCTATGAGCAAGAACATGTGGTGTTTGGTTTTCTTTCCTTGTGATAGTTTGCTCAGAATGATGGTTTCCAGCTGCATCCATGTCCCTGCAAAGGACATGAACTCATCTTTTCTTATGGCTACATAGTATTCCATGGTGATATATACGTAATCTTATTTAGAGAAGATATGAACATGAAAATAGCTTTTCCCCTCATAAATAGTACCAAAGTGTTGTAGAGAGTTTATAAATCATAAAAAAATGCCTCCATATCACAGCACATTTTCATTAAATATATTTTACACATATTGTTCATTCAGGGAGTTGGAACTATAAACTTTTACTCTCTCTCTCTTTTTTTTTTGAACATTGGCTTTAGGATGTTTATTTTGAGCCTATCCAACCAAAGAATAGTATATTAGTAAGGGATCTCTTGATAATGACAGAAGAAGAGACTAAATTAGTTTAAGTTAAAAAGGTAACTTACTATAAGGATGTTAGGATATTTCAGAGACTGAGGGTAGAATGAAGTGACAGGGACATTGGGACATTGGGATAAATGAAACCAAGGGTTTGACATCTGTTATGATGCGTTTGTCTCTCTCTATAATATCTGCTTTATTCTCCTTTTACACTGAAAATGAATTTTTATTACCTAGAGAGACTGGGTTGACTTTCCTGGTCTCAAGTTTAAACTCTCAGGGAAGAGTGTGAAGTTGTCTCAGGGTTTGGTTCCCACCTCTGAACTAACCGATTTTTGCCTAGAGGTAGGTGGTATTTATTCAATAGATGTTCATCGCTTATTACATGCCAGACACAATTCTAGACAGTGAATCAAGCAGGCAAGGTCTTTGCCTTCATAAAAACTTACTTCCTACAGGAGAGAGAAAGACTAAACAAATAAATGTATACTCTGTATGCAATGGGGGAAAAGAAAGTAGTTTTGAGTGCTGGGTCAATTAGGAAGAGAATGTAATAATAGAGCTTTGGACTTAGCAGTGATAAGATAAATAGGTGACTTACTGAAGGTATTTTTGGTCTAGAGTTTGGGTTAGAAACCATGGCAATGTTTTAAGGAATAAATAAATAAATAACTATCCGTACACACACACATACACGTAGTATTATGTATGTATTTTTCTCTGTTCCTCAAATTATTGCCATCTGTTTCTATTATATAAATATATAAGATGTACATATTTTATATCGTCTTGTGCCTATATGTATACAATGCACACATATGTATAGATGCACATAGTTTCTAGACATTTGGTGAGAAACTAGAAGAAAGAAATGGAGAAGTGCTAAAAATGGAAGAAGGGCCAAGGGAAAATTTTGTTGTTGGTGGTGGGGCAGATAGTTTTATTTGGGGGATAAGATTAATTGACCTGCTGATATTTGTGGGAGAAGGAGCTAGATTAAAGTGGAGATAAAAAGATATAGATGAAAGATAGCATCTCTGAAGGTTTCTGTGGTCTGGGACTTAAGACACAGGTAGAAATGGTGGCTTAGAGAGGACAAGAGGAGAGACCCTGGTTTCTCAAATATAGGCATGGGTGAGATAAAGATTGGTACTATATTAGGTATTTTTGAGGTATAGAAACAGGAAGGTGAATATTCTTCTCTCTGTTGAACCTGATAACCTGATATCTCTTTAACCTGATAACCTCTGTTTTACTGTGAAAAAGAAGATCCCATGATAAAGATGGAGGGGCTTGATGATGCAATGGGTTTAAGGAAGTGGTCAAGGTTTGGAACAGTGGCCCTAGGGAGTTGGGAAGTGAACTGACTCAGAACAAATGAAAGGGTTGCTGATTATCATGAAGATTGTTAGCCACTATAAATTTGAATGATACCAATCTGGATTGTTGAGCAGTGTTCTTTTTGAGAGCTCAGTCATCCAGAAGAGAATTTCAGCATGATTCATCTGGGTGGGGACTGCTCAGGCTTGCTGTATTGGAAACAAAGGATGGAAAATAAATGGAGAGTTCTAGTAAAAGCATTATTCATTTGATTGACAGGGGGTTGTGGTTGGACATGGAAAACAGGTGAGGGAGATGATGGTCTGGTATTGGGGGAACCTGCCCCCAATATTTTAACATAGGTTCTATTTTCCATAAGTGTTGGCCGGCTGAGAAATAAAGAGAGACAGTATAAAGAGAGGAATTTTACAGCTGGGCCGCCAGGGGTGACATCACATATCAGTAGGACTGTGATGCCCGCCTGAGTCTCAGACCAGCAAGTTTTTATTAAGGGTTTCAAAAGGGGCGGGGGTGTAAGAACAGAGAGTAGGTACAAAGATCACATGCTTCAAAGAGCAAAAAGCAGAAGCACTGATAAGGGTCTAACAAAGGTCACATGGCAAAGGGCAAAAGCAGAACCACTGATAAGGGTCCAACAAAGATCACAGGGCAAAGGGCAAAAGCAGAACCACTGATAAGGGTCTATGTTCAGCAGTGCATGTATTGTCTTGATAAACATCTTAAACAACAGAAAACAGCATTTGAGAGTAGAGAACCGGTCTGACCACAAATTTACCAGGGTTGAGTTTCCTCAACCCTAGTAAGCCTGAGGGTTCTTCAGGAGACCAGGGCTTATCTCAGTCCTTATCTCAACTGCACAAGACAGACATTCCCAGAGCTGCCGTTTATAGACCTCCCCCCAGAAATGCATTCTTTTCCCAGGGTATTAATATTAATATTCCTTGCTAGGAAAAGCATTTAACGATATGTTTCCTACTTGCATGTCCGTTTATAGGCTCTCTGCAAGAAGAAAATATGGCTCTTTTTGCCCGACCCCTCAGGCAGTCAGACCTTATGGTTGTCTTCCCTTGTTCCATAAAAATCACTATTATTCTGTTCTTTTTCAAGGTGCACTAATTTCATATTGTTCAAACACACATGTTTCACAATCAATTTGTACAGTTAACGCAATGATCACAGTGGTCCTGAGGTGACATACATCCTCAGCTTACGAAGATAACAGGATTAAGAGATTAAAGACGGGCATAAGAATTATAAAAGTATTATTTGAGAACTGATAAATGTCCATATTAAGATGAAATCTTTACAATTTATGTTCCTCTGCCGCAGCTTTAGCCCGTCCCTCTGTTCGGAGTCCCTGACTTCCTGTAACAGTCTGGGAGGAGTGGGCAGGGGCCTAAAGATTTGGATGAAACTCAACAGCTGAGATGGGAGTAAGAAAGGGGAAAGGATTTGTGGGTGTGGTCACATGACATGTTGTAACAGAAGTAAACCATTCTTTAGTAGTGATTCCCAAGTAGGGTGTGGTCTTTAGAGAGTGAGTCCTAAAGTGGAGTGGAGAGATGGCTCATTGACACAGAGAATATTTAGGAACTCAGTTGGATCATCCACCAAACATTAAACAAGCATCATGTCCTACATAGTAATTATATGGATAGAAGAGGATAAGGGTGGATAGCGAATGGGAGTGGGTCATTTTCCAAAAATGGATGGAGAGTGCTGGGGAGACAAAACAGTAGATACCTGTTACAAGCAATGGCTGGATGTATTTGGATCCCATTCAAGAAATTTTCTCAGCATAGGAAGCTAAGGCAAATTTAGACCAAAATATCCAGTTTGGAGAAAAGTCATCTGTCTATATTGAAGATTGATTGAGAATCACACCATTAAGCTAATGGTATTAATTATAAACAGGACATTTGGTTTTGTAATTGCAACATTTTGTTAAATTATTCTGTTGCAAACTTTTATCTCTTATACTAAAATCACATTTCAGTTATGGCTTAGATTTTAATTCTCCTGGTGGTATAAGTAATCAGCCCTGAAAAAGCACTTTCGATTTCAAGTGATTTATTGAGTACAAATTATTTTAAAATAATGCAAGTGAATTCTCTCTCTCTTTTTTTTTTACTTACAGTAGAAAAGATTATATGATGTAGTCAGCTTTATTTCTTCTATTTGGCAGTTTCTCCTTTTTTTCTTACTAAAAACCTATGAAATTATATGGAATATTAGAGAAGGAATCATAACCTTCTGTAAATCTTGGTGAGGACTCTTGATTTAATTTCCTGATGAACTCCGAACTTGTCACCTCTCATTCTCTGATCCAATTTCCTAATAAACTTTGAACTTGTCTTCTTCTTCTGTCTCTGCTCATGGCAGTTGATTCTTCATTACTTCATGAACTATTAATCATTTCCTCCTAATAGTTATCTGCTCCTCTTGTTCATTATGGATTTTGCTAGTGGAATTATTTTTTTCATATTGCTAAATGGCTTCTACCACTGTTCTGTGGTGAGCAGGTCTGTGCAAACCTATCCCCAAAGACTGAGGAGCTGAGAGGCTGAAGAAAGAGGCTGACACATCCGTTTTCACAGGAAACAACATTTAATAGGGCCTTACTAACAGAAGCCATGTCTCGGTACCTGTGAGATGATGGATCCTTGCCCTGTTATCCTCCAGACGCAGGGCTTATACACCATGGGGAATTTGCCTAAGGGAAGGATTCATGGTAAGTAAAAATCTTAGAGGCCTTCTCAGAACTAGGGTTGATCAGAAGTCAACATGATGGATTAGCATTTAAGATGGAGTTACTTTGACCTGCAGAACCACCAACAGAATAAAAGCTAAACTCCTTTGATTGATATCCGAAGCTATTTATGATCTACTTCTTCCTCACTCCAAACCTGATCTTTCACATTCCACATACTGCAGGGAAATATTTGCTGGTTCTCAAACTTGCCATGTTATCTCATGTCCCAGTGTTTTTTTGCGTATGTGCTCTCCCATGCCCATTATGCTCCTCTCTGCTTTGTCACCTTGGCTAGTTTTCCATTTTCCTTCAAATCTCAGTTCAAGCATTATCTCCTCTGTGACACTTTCTCTGACTCCCTCCCGTAAGACTTCAGTTGTCTTCTCTTCAGCTCCTGCTTGTGACTACTTGTACCAAAGAGTCACAGCCATGCAATGATAGGGAAAATAATTAAAAATTTAATGCAAACATTAATGTTCTTATTGGCTTGGTATATGATAAATGTTTCTGCCCTGGTTCCCAAATAATTAGCATTTATTCATTATTCATTTTTAAAAGGACATATTTAACAATTTGTACATGCAAACTTCTGATAGGTGATGATGATGGTGATGATGATGATGATGATGATGTTGTGTGTATGTTGGGAGGAATGGGATTGCTAATGACGAGCACAGAAATTTTTGTTACAGAAATATTGGAATGCCTTACAAAAATGATCAGAATCATTTCTTGAGATCAACTAAACAGCTTCTTTTTTTTATATAATTCTCTAATAAGATACCAAACACAGATATTATATAGAATGCCACTATCCCTTTCATTTAATCAACTTGTAAGTCTTCCTTCATTTATTTTGTTATGGGAAGTCTCTTCTTAGTAGATTCCAGAAGGACAATACAGTATTGCCAATTTAAGGGATGTGTGAGAAAGAGTGAATGATTCTGTGAGCACATGATTTAATATACTTCATTGGTTATAAATTTAATTTTTCTGTGAGACATAAATGTTATGATTTTGTGACTCTTTAGGTAATAACATAATTCAGGAGCAATTCTGAAATCAGAATTGATATGTTTAGAATTTTTTTTAGTTTAAAATGGAATCTTTGGGTATTAGGATTTATAAAAGTTAAATTCCATTGGAATGTCAGTTTATACTCTTCCAGTACCTCTCTCTCTCATTTGCTTGGATGATTCTAGTTTTTTTTTAAAATGTGTTTTAATAATGCATCCTAGCTTTTGGGGGGATTATACTTTAGACATATCCATGAATAGAGACATCCAAAATTCTTATGCCTACAATTAGGACTTATATTCAAGGAGAATTTAATTTCTTGAGCTTATTCAAGAAATAATTTTTATTCCAAAAAGGAATTGAAATTATTTGCAACATACATGCATAATACAGTAGAAGTAGAAAATCAGGACCACGGAAAAGGCAGAATCAAATTTGTTTTGATTTCATGGGTTTCAAAACCTTGCTTGGTTTTGAGCTTCCTCAGAGCTGAGCACAAGGGGAAACTACATCACTGTCGTTATCAGCAGTGATGAAAATTGTAAGTTCAACAGAGGTCTTTTTCTTTGCACCAAATTGTAGAACTTCCTTGCTATAAATTTTGGTAAAGCATTTCTTTTTTCTTGTGCTTGGTACAAGAGATGCTGAATGGTGAAGTGGCAAATGCAGAAATGGATTTCATATTCTTGTGTCTTAAAGCAAACGTTCATCAAAGTGTAGAGTATAACATTTAACCAGCTGGGCGCGGTGGCTCACGTCTGTAATCCCAGCACTTTGGGAGGCCGAGATGGGCTGATCACGAGGTCAAGAGATCAAGACCATCCTGGCCAACATGGTGAAACCCTGTCTGTACTAAGAATACAAAAACTGGCTGGGCACGGTGGCTCATGCCTGTAATCCCAGCACTTTGGGAGGCCGAGTCGGGCGGATCACGAGGTCAGGAGATTGAGACCATCCTGGCTAACACGGTGAAACCCCGTCTCTACTAAAAGTACAAAAAATTAGCCAGGCGTGTTGGTGGGCGCCTGTAGTCCCAGCTAGTGGGGAGGCTGAGGCAGGAGATTGGCGTGAACCCGGGAGGCAGAGCTTTCAGTGAGCCGAGATCACGCCACTGCACTCCAACCTGGGCGACAGTGCAAGACTCCATCTCAAAAAAAAACAAAATACAAAAATTAGCTGGGTGTGGTGGCACATGCTTGTAGTCCCAGCTACTTGGGAGGCTGAGGCAGCAAAATCACTTGAACCCAGGAGGCAGAGGTTGCAGTGAGCTGAGATTGTGCCATTGCACTCCAGCCTGGCATGGAGCGAGACTCTGTCTCAAAAACAAACAAAAACAATTAATCATGAAAGCAAGCCTGTGATGCTTTATTTCATGAAAACATTTCTATGAAGGGCAAAGTGATAAGGGTTCAAGTTACTTTGACTGAATAGCTTTATCTGAGGATGGATTTTAGAACATCAAGACTGTAATAATGTATTTCTCAGACAAACTCCTTTCCTATTATTTACCTTCTCTCTTTTACTTTTGTTTTCCAACATGTGCAGAGATCCTCTATTAGTTGTCATTTTCTTTTTAACACTGCCCTTTTAACACATTGTCAGATGACCTCCACCATAAGGAGCTGTCAGTCTCTCAACAAGAATGATGTTCTTTGTATTCATTGAAGGTATTACTTAGCTGAAACTGGAGTGGTTGGAAGGCAGGCCACCTCAGAATGAGTTGGTAGGTGTTGCATCTGAAAATGATTCTAAACCTGTTAATACTGCATACTTCCTTTTCCAAACATGTGTTTGCTTATATAGTTATTTGTATAATGTTTCATTAATGTCTGATTTCCCAGCTATACCCGAAACTCTATGAGTGAGAGATTATGTTGATCTTGCTTACCTTTTAATTTTCAGTGCCTAAAACAATGCCTGGCACAGTAGCATTCCATACATTTGATTGAATAAATAAATTTGTTTCTTCATCCTTTACATGTTGTCTTTGCCAGTGTTACCTTTTTTATTTTTTGAGACAGAGTCTCACTCTGTTGCCAGGCTGGAGTGCAGTGGTGCAATCTTGGCTCACTGCAACCTCTGCTTCCCAGGTTCAAGCTCTTCTCCTGCCTCGGCCTCCCAAGTAGCTGGAATTACAGGCACCTGCCACCATACCCAGCTAATTTTTGTATTTATAGTAGAGACAGGGTATCACCACGTTGGCCAGGATGGTCTCGATCTCCTGACCTTGTGATCCACCTTGCCTCGGTCTCCTAAAGTGCTGGGATTACAGGCGTGAGCCACTGTGGCTGGCCCAGTATTGCCTTTTTATTGTAAGATATAGAAAGGTATTTATTTGTTCATTTATAAAAAATAAGACATGGTCTCTGATCTCAAGGAATTTAAAATCTGGTTAAAAAGACAAGATATATATGCATGAAAAATTAAACACTCTTGATGATACAAGAAAATGTGTATCGAGTATCAAATGAATAGTATGGACTGTGAGTGCTGTGAGAATTTAGGAGAGAGGATCATAGTGGGCCAGGACAGGGGAAGAAAGCTTTGTTGCCCATGTGGGACCTAAATTGAGTCTCAAGCGTGAGTGGGATTAAAATAGTCAGATATGATGAAAGGTATTCCTTATAGATTTCAGGTCATGGGGTAGAAAGTGTGAGCAAAGATGGAGACAACTCAGCTTTTTTTTGGAGTTGGGGTAAAAGCTGAAGAATTCATGCTCATTTTGACTGAGAACAATTTATGTTAGGAAAGAGGCGTTGCAGTGAAAAGGTAGGTTGGGCCAAAATTCTTTGGTCTTTAAATGCCAGTCTTCTATCTTTAGACTTTATCTCTTCCATTACAGTCTTTAAGTCAACGAAAATATTTGAACAATGTGTGAGATGATGACAAGATTAATCTTGAAGCAGAATTTAAGGGGAATTGGAAAGGGAGAGATTTGGGGAGTAAAACAGAAGTAAGAAGTTATTTTGGGGGCTGCCTGCAATAATTCTGGCTTATGTTTGTTCAGACTAGTCTAAAATAAGGGGTGGAGCAAAGGCAAGCAGATTGGGGTATGTGAGGCGATGTGAAACCTCCACAACTGATAGGATATGAGTAGGCAAGAGTGAGAGTGAAATGAAAGGTAACTAGGAAGATTAGGCTGGGAGACTGGAGGAGTGATTATCCTACTGAAAAAAAAAAAAAGTCCATAGTGGAATCTGGTTAGAGAAGAAGATAATGAGTTAAGGAAGTGATGACAGCAGGTCATGAGCACATAAGTGATGGCTCATTTACCTTGAACAGTTCACAGAACAGTAAAGGTGTGTGTTACTAAGCTTAGTCCAGGCACACTTTTTAAAAAATTTTATTTTTATTTATTTATTTATTTATTATTTTTTTTCTGAACCTCACTCTGTCACCAGGCTGGAGTGTGGTGGCGTGATCTCGGCTCACTGCAACCTCTGCCTCTCAGGTTCAAGCGATTCTCCTGCCTCAGCCTCCTGAGTAGCTGGTATTACAGGTGTCCACCACCACACCTGGCTAATTTTTGTATTTTTAGTAGAGACAGGGTTTCACCATGTTGGCCAGGTTGGTCTCGAACTCCTGACTTCAGGTGATCTGCCTGCCTTGGCCTCCCAAAGTGCTGGGATTACAGGCGTGAGCCACCGCTCCTGGCCCAGGCCCACCACTTCTTATCCAAAACCTTGAGGCCAGATGTGTTTCAGAATTTAGAGCATTTGCCTTTATTTAAGGTCACCCTGCTAAATACCCCATCATCAGACATGTTAATATTTCTGTATATATGTATACATATTTACATGAAGTTGGATAAGTAAAGACCACAGACAGACTCAAGTAAGTTCAGGTTAGGTGTTGCTACTAAATGGATTCAGGTTTGGTCAGGTTTTGCGAATAAATTAGTTACAAAAATCAGAGTCTTTTGGATCTCGGAACTGTGGAAACTGGATTGTGGACCTGTACTTGACTATGATAAGCATTTCTTTTTTTCTTTTTTTTTTTGAGATGGAGTTTCACTCTTGTTGCCCAGGCTGGAGTGCAGTGGTGTGATCTTGGCTCACTGCAACCTCCGCCTGCCGGGTTCAAGGGATTCTCCTACCTCAGCCTCCCTGATAAGCATTTCATATACATCTTTGCTTACCCCAAGATAGCCAGCTGCATAAAAATCATGATTTTTTAAAAATGCTGTAGTTAAAAAAATAGAATAATTTGATAACTAAATATCTGCCATAGATGAATACATGCTAAAGATGTACTTTTCTTGTGTTTATATTATGCAAATCATTAAGGGGTTTGCTATTTTCTATGTACCTATGTCTGTTTTAGTTTGAAACAGGAAGTTTGGGGACAAAAGCATCCTCAATATATCCAGAGATTTGGGAAGACAAATTCTAGTTTGTATATTTCATTTTACTGTAACAAAAAGGATATCTCCCATACAATACCAAGTAACTCAACAATATTTTGTCATTTAATGAATTTAATAAAGTGAAATGCCTGTTTGTCTTCTATTTTCTTAGCTTTAAGCTTAGTTTGAATTTTTTTGGTATGTTGAACTGCACATATGATTTTATCATTTCAAAATAGAAGAGGTTAAAAGATTCTGAAAAGCATGGTCAAGGTAGTCATGGTAATACAGGAATATCAAAACATGAAGAATTCGACATTTAGGAATAAAAAACTATTATTTTAATACAATGATATGGGTATGGTTTGACTTCCTTTGTGTTAATTTGAGATCTGAATAGCTGAATAGTATAAATAACCAACAAGTTATCATGGTCGTTGAGAGTATATTAAAACTGTATTTATGACTACTCAGGGCAAATGTCAACAACTGATTATTTTAATAATTGTATTATCAGAGTGCTAAGGACTTTTTTGGGGAAATTATTTGAACAGACGCTGTCTATATAGCCAAATGCCATGTAGAATATCTATAGTTTTAAGCTTTGCCCCCTCAAAATGTTATATTAGATACTCATGACAAATATTTAATGTTGTGTCACCATCTTCATTCTCAACCAGTCTGTATGGAGTTCTGGAATCATACTTCTTCTAGGTGCTTGAATTGTCAAGACCCAGTCCTTTTTCACAGAGTTAGTAATTTTAGAGCCCAAAGTGACCAACAGAATTTAAGTTAGAGAAAAATGTTATTTCAAAGTTTGGAGTGACCTTCTGGCATAAGGAATTTAAAAAAGCAGTTCCTCATGTCTATCACTATGAAACAGTCCCTCATACCCCATCACAATCCTCCTCCTCCCTCTCCAAACCACTCCTGTCAACTATAAATTAGTTTGCATTGTCTAGAATTTTATATAAATGAAAACATACAGTATATACTCTTTTTTGTCAGGCTTCTTTCATTCAGCATAATTTTGAAATTCATTCATGTTTTATGTATCAATACTTCATTCCTTTTTATTTCTGACTGGTATTGTGTGACTGTGTCAAAATTTGTTTACCCATGGTATCTGTTGATAGACATTTCTATTTTTTTCAGTTTTTATATATCACAAATCTATGAACACTCATGAAAAAAAAATAAAAAAGCAGTTCCTTAAAAAGACATGAGATAGATTAGGAAAGGTAACCTGGAAAATTATTGATATTTGATGTTTTAAAAAATTCCCAGGAACACCCTTCTTCAGAGGGAGATTTGGTGTGTTGGAGCTACTGAACTTTGTAGCCCTTTTCAAAAAGCTGATCTTATTACTTTGTGTTCCTGTTATGTTCTCTCTCCTAGAGCAGGAAAGCAAGGTAAGGCTGGAAATCCCAAGGACATGGCCATTTCCTCCCACACCTGCTTATTAGGTGCCTTCATTAGTTTGCAGTGCAGTCAGTTGCACATCCATTAGCGCTAAAGGGCAATGAGCTTCATGCAGCTTTCAGTGTGATAGAATCGTCTGGCTGCTCTAGTTCCCCTAGGACAGAGGATACAAACACTGTAAAAGGATACCTCAAGGACTTAATAAACTAACTTAGGTTAGAGCATTATAATTAAGCAATTATGAACCAGGGTGCCTTTCTAGGTACTTTTTTTTTTTTTTATTGTACTTGATACAAATGAGTCATTCAGGGACCAAGGGACTCTTTTCTTACCAGGTCCAATCATTGCCTCCACGTCCTTTTCTCATTTCCTACCCATGGGAGGTAATGCTAGAAGTTTTTCACAAAGGGGGCTATCACATGGAATTACAGAAGGCAGACTCATATACATGGTGCAGAGGGAAACCACTTCACTATTAGTGAGATGTAACCAGCCAGGGTGGAATTTGACAGCTGGTTAAATAACATATGGTAAAATTGAAAATGAAAAGTGCTTGATTACTTGATTCATTTAAAACCATATTGATAGAGGTCTTAGTTTGCTTATTCTTCAAATAAAGGGGTAATCAGTCCTGGCTGAGTAGAGTACTGTGATTTGAGATGATGCTGCCAGAATTTTCCCCTGATTTATTTCCTTTTATCTTTTATTAATTCCTACAACTAGAATCATTTCTTGAAGATATTTTCACTGGGTTTAAAATATTATGCTACTTGAGAGGTGTGATGAACTAACAAGGATGTTAACAATCCCATCATAGAGAGATCTGTGCCCAAAGGATAAATAAGTGGTGGTAGGTGGGAGGAAGTAGGCGAATGTGCTGATATGGTAACTATGTTGCCCTGCACGGTTCTGGATAGAAGCACGGGTCAAAGAAACGCTGTTAGAAGATTTAGGGATATGCAGAGGGTCAGACTGGAATAAGGGGCTTCTCCAAAGACAGGCTTTAGTTGTTTTACTGTGGTGGCCTTGACACTATATCTGATTTTGAGTATCACAGGTGGTCCAAGCAGTCCTATTGTTTTTAATTTGGATTCCTATCGTGGCTGTGACCCAGAGTTATTGTTGATGGGTAAATAGAAATGTACAGGGTTGATCTGCCTGCCTTCAAGGTCATAACAGTAGCCAGCAGTAAAATTGGAACATAAACCGAAGCCTCCTGATTCCCAGACAGGCGCCTTTTCAGGCATCCCAGATGGCGAACTGGCAGCCGGTGTGCCTTGTCTGCCTTAGGACCGGATTGTGCTAGGCCACTCCCTACAGTTTTGCTCTGCATTGCCTGTGTTCTGGCATCTTTTTCTGGCACCACCTCCTGCCTGACCAGCTCTCACTTTTGGTTAAAGAAAGTCATTTAGTCGCCCCCACAAGAAGTCCTATAGTTTCAGGGCAAAGTCTGTCATTGCTGTGGAGCCCAGAGAAACTCAGTACAATGCTTCCTGTCCTTGTGGCCATCAGTAACCTCATTTTCTTGGCTGGACTATACTTTTTCCCCTTAATTTCAGAGGAGTGAAATCTAGATATTCTTAGGCTACTCCATGCTTGTTATGATACTTTGTGTGTCGTTGAGGATGTAGCCATTGAAATGGACAGACTAGCTAAGAGTAACCAGCAAATACACACAAACCTGAGAGAGTGAGTTGGAACTTGCTCTTCAGTATCTCAGGGAAGAGTGTCTTTTATGTCCTTTCCACTTTATTCCTGTTTGAACTGTGCTGTTTTTCAACATCATCATTGACAAATGTGTTGAATACCTGTTATTTGCAAGGGAAAGCACCAGGTGCCATGAGCCTCTGCCTTTTAGGAGGGAAAATTATCAAATATGATAATTGCCAGCACTGCAGTGGGAGTGGAAGGGACAGTCTCTTTTGAAGGGGGCAAGAAGTCAAACCGAAGAGAAATCATCAAATAAAGCTTCCTAGAGAAATAGGAGTTTGTGGGAATCATAGAATCTCAGAGTGAATGGAATTGGTGAGAGCTTTCTTGTTACATTTTCAGCCAATCTCTGAGCACCTCCAACAAAGGCGATTATCCCCAAAGAAGTCTCTGTGTTCGATTACTGTTTCTGCATTTCCTGTGTGTGAACCTGAGCTTTGCCATTACAACTCCAGCGGAATTCTGTTGGAGGGAGGAGGGCCTTCCAAGCTGGAGAAGTGGCAAGCGCAAAGTTGTGGGGAAGGAACGGGCAAAATGGTTGCAGTGTAGAGTGTGAACAGGCCAGTGTTTCTGGATCAGTAGTTTTGGGTAGACTGGCAGCAGGAAAGAGAAACTTCAGTGCAAATTGTGAAGGGTCTGGAATTCCAGATTTGGGAGCTTAAAATTCATTCTGAAAATGATAGGAAGCCATGGAGCATATCTCTCCCTTCTTGATTTGTAAATGTAAAAAGTTATATAAACCTATTGTGGGAAAAAAAACAGAATATATGAAGTCAAAGAAGAAAAATTTTTTGATCAAAAAGATGACGAGATCAAAACAGTATCATAGGAAAATGCATGCAGGCTTAGTTGGCCTTGAGGCAGGGAGGTGTGCCACAGTTGCTGGGGTATAACTGACCTCAAGTGATCAAGGCTTGATTTAGAAGTGGTGGCAATGAGAATGAAATGGAGGGGAAGGAAGGAAGAGAATATGTGAGGAAGACTGATAGTGCAAATACAGTTTTCTTCTATTCTAAATAACATCATTTTAAGGACTCCTATTCCCTGAGTCCATTCCCATCATATACTGAACATAAGGCATAACAATCTATTTCTAAAATTGGCAACTTAAATTATCATTAGATCATCTTACTTTATTCTCCAAGTTTGCTGAAAGAAACAAATGTGTGGTTCTGGTGGTTATTTGTGACACTAGAAGAGACTTTAAGAAAAAACAGATTTATGCTCACTGATACTAAGCTATGAAGGTGTTAATGTCATTGAGTTTCTTCTTCTTATTATTATACTTTAAGTTCTGGGGTACATGTGCAGAATGTGCAGTTTTGTTACATAGGTATACACGTGCCATGGTGGTTTGCTGCACCCATCAACCCATCACCTACATTAGGTATTTCTCCTAATGCTATCCCTCCCCTAGTCCCCCCACCCCGTGACAGGGCCCAGTTTGTGAAGAATTTCTTTTTTGAAGCTTAGCATTTGTTGAATTTGTGGATCATGCTCATTAATTTGTCTCATTTGCAAAGTACAGGAGCCTTAATGATATAGGACTTGATTTTGTTCATTCAATAAACACTTAGAATTTTCTAGGCCCTGGGGATCCAGCATTGAACCCAACAAGGTCCCTGCTGTGACTGAGCTTACAGTCTAGTAGGAAAAGATGGATAATAAACAAATAAATCATTATATATTATATCAGAGGGTGATAAATGCTGTGGTGAATAATAAAGCAGGGAGAGTCTAGGGAGGGGTCCAGAGAGTTCCCGGAATTCCCTCCCTAATGAGATGATCTGAGGAAGATGAAGGAACAACCTATGTAGCTTTCTGGGGGAAGACATCCCAAGAAGAGGGCAGGGCAGCCCTGAAAGCCCCAGAGCAGTGGTGTGTTGAGAGTGTTTAGTGAACAAGGTGGCAAGGAGGTCAGTGGCTGGAGCAGAGGGAACAGAAAAGAGAGTAGGAGGAGAAGTGGAGGGAGGTGGGACAGCCGGTCATAGGTTTTATAACAAGGCTTTATAACAAGCCTTCTCTCCTTAAGTAAAAGGGAGACACCAATAAACATATAAATCCGTATAGCTTTATTTAGTTTCTAAATTAAATATGGTATATTTAAAGTTGGTGTTTTAGTGACGCCCTTGAGCTCATTGTCTTAGTTTATTCTGAGAGAATGCAGGATCCATGATTTTTATTCTGGCAGTTCCTTTACTCTTCTCAGCTCCCCATTATGGCTCCTTTATGGGGCTGTCCACCTCACCTCCCTCCCTCCAGTGGGACATAGAAGTGAAGGAAGATGCTTTTTAGGAAGGCTGATTTATTTAATAATTTTTAAGAGAGATTCTTCTCTGTGCCTGTTCCCCATCCCTGTCCGTAGTGGAGGCAATGCTAACTTTGTAATAGTATTTTCAGCAGTGGAGGTGGGGAGCGTGGTCCTGGAGGCAGCCATGTGGGGAAGTCACAGTTGATTGTCTTTAAAGTTCTCACTCTCAGATCCCCCCATAGAGTAAGAAAAGCATCTTTCTTTCTCTAGGGATGAATAGATTTTCTGTCCATGTCGGGGAGGGGGTTGTAGAGATGGAGGTTCACAGACCTCTCAGATTCTTTCCCTGTTATAACCCCAGCCATGAGTCTGCTAGATCAGGCGCATGAAAATGACTCTTATCTGTTTTTTTCTGGGTTGCTCCCCTGCTTCTATTTAGAGCTTAAACAGATTACTGAACTCTATGCTATCCACTGAATTTTGTAAACACAAGTGCTTAACAATCTATGTTTAAAAGAGGACAGAGAATTTGCTTAACAGCTGAATTCTAGATGACAGATCAAATTGAATATGAAAGAAGAATATTTTTACTCTTCTTCGGAACACTGTCACAGTGGGTGGAGGAAGATCTTTAGATACAATACTTTGAGCAAGTCTAGACATATTTTAGCTTTAGGTATGCAAGAAAGGGTAGTAAAAGAGACGTTATACATTCATTCGAGAGATATTTCTAGTGTGCCTTTTATGTGGGAGGATTGATTCTATGCACTAGGGATACAGTGGTGAATAATAATAATAACAAAACACTCAAGATTTTTGTTCTTATAAGTTATGTATTCTGATGGGGGAAAATATACAATTGTGGTCGGTCATTCCTGCAATTCATCAGATATTTTTGTCTCATCATGTCTGACACGTGGTGAGGTTGTACTTGTGATTAGTTATGGCTGGTTAGGTCAGAGCAGGGGTGATGTGTGGCATTTCTGAACTAGAGCATTTGATTGCACATGCCAGACCCTCCAGCTTCTTTTTCTCTTCCTTGGCTATCAGCAGTTTTCCAGACAGTTGCTTCGCTGTCTGCTTGAGTCTGCCAGAGTGAAGGCAATGTGGAGTAGGGCCCTTAACTGATCCTCAATGGACATATAGTATGAGAAGGAAATAAACTTTTGTCTTTTTTTGAGATGGAGTCTTGTTCCTTTGCCCAGGCTGGAGTGCAGTGGTGTGCTCTCGGCTCACTGCAAGCTCTGCCTCCAGGATTCACACCATTCTCCTGCCTCAGCCACGGGAGTAGATGGGACTACAGGCGCCCGCCACCATGCCCAGCTAATTTTTTGCATTTTTAGTAGAGACAGGGTTTCACCATGGATCTCGATCTTCTGACCTCATGATCCACCTGCCTTGGCCTCCCAAAGTGCTGGGATTACAGGCGTGAGCCGCTGCACCCAGAAAATAAATGTTTATTGTTTGAAGCCACTGAGATTTTAGAGTTGGCATAACTCCAAGCATGGCATAACCTAACGTCCTGAATGCCTGACTGGGAGAAATTAAAAAGTCCTGACTGATATAGAAATTTAAAAAGTAACATTTTAGAAAAAGAAGTACTTCTAGCTAGTGATATAGTCTATAAACAAAACAAAACAGGGAGCTGTGACAGAAAATGCCTGGGGTGGAGTGCAGAGGATACTCTAACTAGAGTGGTTAGGTTAGCTCCCTCAGAGGAGGTTATATTGAAACCTGAAAGATGAGAAGGAGCTAGCCAAGTGAAAATCTGGAAGAAGTGCATTCAAACTGAAGGAATAGCACATGCAGAATATGAGTGGTGAAAACATTTGGTACATTTATAAAACATCTGGGAGGCCAAGACAGGAGAATCGCTTGAACCTGGGAGGCAGAGGTTGCAGTGAGCTGAGATTACGCACTGCACTCCAGCCCGGGTGACACTGCGAGACTCTGTCTCAAACTGAAAAACAAACAAACAAAAAAACCAAGAAAAACAAAAACATTGGCCAGGCACAGTGGCTCACACCTGTAATTCTAGCATTTCAGGAGGCCTGTGGTGAAACCCTGTCTCTACTGAAATACAGAAAATCAGCTGGGCATGGTGGTGGGTGCCTGTAATCCCAGCTACTCCGGAGCCTGAGGCACAAGAATTGCTTGAACCCGGGAAGCAGAGGTTGCAGTGAGCCAGGATTGTGCCACTGCACTCCAGCCTGGGCAACAAAGCGAAACTCTGTCTCAAAAACAGCAACAACAACAAACAAACAAACAAACAAACAAAACTTCAAGGAAGTTAATGGAGCCTAAAGAGTAAGGAAGGAGGAGGTAGCTAGGAGTTTAGTGATGTTAGACTTGACAGATCATGGTATTTCATTTTAAGAATAAGCCATCATAGAGTTTTCAGCAGAACATGGATATGATCTGAATTAGATTTTTAGAGTGACTCTTTGAAAAGATCAGACTATTACGCATGGGGCATCTCTGACTCTAGAAGAAAGCCACAATTCTCTTGATTTGGGGACTCAGAGCATGGAGTTCAGGGCTGACAAAACAGTTGGAAAGTAATAGAGCAAATCTTAGAAAGGGCAGACCCACAGAGGGAAGCCCCAAATTTTATGTATAAACTCTCCTTTAATTCTTAACTGGCCCTGAACTGTTCACACTTGAGGGAGTTTTTAAGAAGCCCAGCAAAAGCAATGGCTGAGAGGTGGTGAGAGGTGACAGCGTGCTGGCAGCCCTCGCAGCCCTCACTCACTCTCGGTGCCTCCTTGGCCTCAGCGCCCATTCTGGCCACACTTGAGGAGCCCTTCAGCCTGCCACTGCACCATGGGAGCCCTTCTCTGGGCTGGCCGAGGCTGGAGCTGGCTCCCTTGGCTTGCAGGGAGGTGTGGAGGGAGAGGCACAGGTGGGAACCGGGGCTGCGCCCGGCGCTTGCGGGCCAGCTAGAGTTCCGGGTGGGCATGGGCTTGGCGGCCCCACACTCGGAGCTGCCGGCCAGCCAGCCCTGGACAGTGAGGGGCTTAGCACCCGGGCCAGCAGCTGTGGAGGGTGCGCTGGGTCCCCCAGCAGTGCTGGCCCACCAGCGCTGCGCTGGATTTCTCACGGGGCTTTAGCTGCCTCCCTGGGGGGCAGGGCTCAGGACCTGCAGCCTGCCATGCCTGAGTCTCCCTCACTCCCCCCGCAGTGGGTTCCTGCGCGGCCTGAGCCTCCCCGACCAGCACCTCCCCCTGCTTCATGGCACCCAGTCCCACCCACCGCCCAAGGGCTGAGGAGTGCAGGCACACTGCGCAGGGACTGGCAGGCAGCTCTATCTGCAGCCCCAGTGCGAGATCCACTGGGTGAAGCCAGCTGGGCTTCTGAGTCTAGTGGGGACTTGGAGAACCTTTATGTCTAGCTAAGGGATTGTAAATACACCAATCAGCACTCTGTATCTAGCTCAAGGTTTGTAAACACACCAATCAGCACCCTGTGTCTAGCTCGGGGTTTGTGAATGCATCAATCGGCACTCTGTATCTAGCTCAAGGTTTGTAAATACACCAATCAGCACTCTGTGTCTAGCTCAGGGTTCGTAAATACACCAGTTGACACTGTATCTAGCTAATCTAGTGGGGACGTGGAGAACTTTTGTGTCTAGCTCAGGGATTGTAAAAGCACCAATCAGCACCCTGTCAAAACAGACCAATCAGCTCTCTGTGAAATAGACCAATCGACTCTCTGTAAAATGGACCAATCAGCAGGATGTGGGTTGGGCCAGATAAGAGAATAAAAGCAGGCTGCTGGAGCCAGCAGGGGGTCCACACTGTGGGAACTTTGTTCTTTTGCTGTTTGCAATAAATCTTGCTGCTGCTCACTGTTTGGGTCCACACTGCCTTTATGAGCTGTAACACTCACCACAAAGGTCTGCAGCTTCACTCCTGAAGCCAACAAGACCGCAAACCCACCGGGAGGAACGAACAATTCCAGACCCGCCACCTTAAGAGAGCTGTAACACTCACCGTGAAGGTCTGCAGCTTCACTCCTGAGGCAGCGAGACTACGAACCCACCAGAAGGAAAAAGCTCCGAACACATCCGAACATCAGAAGGAAACAACTCCGGACCCGCTGCCTTTAAGAACTGTAACACTCACTGCGAGGGTCCGCGGCTTCATTCTTGAAGTCAGTGAGACCAAGAACCCACCAATTCCGACACAGTGGGAAGGGTTGAACAGAGATTTTAGTGCTGTCTACTGCAGTAAAGACAGAGTTTGGGGTTTGAGTCATACCAAGTTAGAAGGATTGGTAAAGTCCTTCTAACTTTACCTTCTAACTTGGGCATTGAAACCCCAGAAGGGTGCCCCTTAGAAATAAACAATACATCCTTGGGCTATAGGAGTTGCCGCAGGATTGTGGGCAAAAACTAATGTAGATTTGGCCAGGTATACTGGCTCAGACCTGTAATCCCAGCACTTTGGGAGGCCAAGGTGGGTGGATCACTTGAGGTCAGGAGTTTGAGACCAGCCTGGCCAGCATCATGAAACTCCATCTCTGCTAAAAATACAAAAATTAGCCGGGCGTGGTGGTGCATGTCTGTAATTCCAGCTACTAGAGGGGCTGAGGCAGGAGAGATGCTTGAACCTGGGAGGTGGAGGTTGTAGTGAGCTGATATCGCACCACTGCACTCCAGCCTGGGTGACAGAACGAGACTCCGTCCCAAAAAAAGAAAAAAAGAAAAAAAAAAAACTAATATAGACTCATACATACCAAGTATCAAATCAAGCCTTCACAAGTTCAAAGTGATTAGCCAGTAATTTTAAATTTAATTTAAAGTGATTAGCCAAATCAGGCCTTCACCAATTTGAAATGATTAGCCAATAATTAATAATAATTAGTAAAATTAATACTCTTAGAGGAAGATAATAAAACAATGTATCATCTATAAAGTCCAGTTTAAAATTAAAGTTTATTGTACATACAAAAAACCAGGACAGTGTGACCCATAGTCCAGAGAAAAAGTAGTTAATAGAAACAGCACTTAGATGATCCAGAAGCTGGCATTAGCAAAGACTTTATAACAGTGTTCATACTTTGTTCATGGGCAAGGAGATAGAAAACCACCAACAGTTTCATAGTCAAACTGCTGAAATAAAAGATAAAGAGAAAATTTTGAAAGCAGTCAGAACTAAGGTCACATTTCACATAGGGGAATGATGATATGAATGATGGTTAATTTCTTATCACGAACAAGGGAGGCCAGAAGATATCTTTAAAGTACTGTAAGAAATAAAAATTTCAACCTAAAATTCTATATCCAGCCAACATATACTTACAAAATGAAGGTAAAATAAAGACACTTTCAGGCAGGAGGATTGCTTGAGCCAAGGAGTTGGAGACCATCCTGGGACACATAGTGAGACCTCATCGCTACCAAAAAAAAAAAAAAAAAAGTTATGTGAAGCGGTGCACACCTATAGTTCCAGCTACTTGGGAGACTGAGGCAGGAAGATTACCAGAGCCTGGGAGGTCGAGGCTGCAGTGAGTTGTGATTGCATCACTGCACTCCAGCCTGGGTGACAGAGCAAGATCCTGTCTCTTAAAAAACAAAAATAAATAAAAGACACTTTTCAAACAAATCAACAAGACAGTTATCTATAGCAGACCTGCTCTACAAGAAATGCTAAGGAAAGTTCTTCAGGCTGCTGATGAGTGAAACCATATAGAAATATCAAATATACAGGAAAGAATGCAGAGCATTAGAAATCATAAATATAGGGCTCAATTAGAAAGACTGTTTTTTCCTTAATTTTTTTAAAAGACAAAAATGTTTAGGTTGGCGCGGTGGCTTACGCCTGTAATCCCAACACTTTGGGAGGCTGAGGCGGGTGGATCACCTGAGGTCGGGAGGTTGAGACCAGCCTGACCAACATGGAGAAACACCGTCTCTACTAAAAATACAAAATTAGCTGGGTGTGGTGGTGCATGCCTGTGATCCCAGATACTTGGGAGGTTGAAGCAGGAGAATCGCTTGAACCCAGGAGGCAGAGGTTGTGGTGAGCCAGATTGCGCCATTGCACTCCAGCCTGGGCAACAAGAGCAAAAACTCCATCTCAAGAGAAAAAAAAAAAAGAAAAGACAACAATGTTTAAAAGGAAAATTGTAATATTGTATGTCATGATTTTGTAACATGATACTATAAAATATATGACAATAATGACAGATTGGAGGCAAATGGAATTACACTTTAGCAAGATTCTTGTATTTTATATGAAGTGGCACAATGTTAACCCTAATTAAACTGTGATAAGTTAAAAAGGCATGTTTCAATCTTTAGAACAATCAGTGAAAAATATAAAGAGGATACGTAAGAAACCTAAATAGGATGTAAATTATTATACTAATAAAATAATATTATGCCAAAAGAAGGCAGGAAAAGAGGAGCAGAGGAAGAGTATACAGATGGGACAAGGATAAACAGCAAAGTGGTAGACCTAAATCCAACTGTATAATTTTTTACGCAGAAAAACTAAACATTCCAATTACAAGGCAGAGATTGTCAGACTGAATTTAAAAAGTTTGATCCAAGTATATAGTGTTTATAAATGATGTATTTTAAATATAACAACAGAGCAGTTGAAATCAACAGGATGGAAAATGAATATATCCTGTAAACAGTTAACAAAAGAAAACTAGTGTGAATATGTTAATATCAGACAAAAGTAACCAAAAAGATGTTTTAAAATAATGAAAGGGTCAATTCATCTGCACAATAAAACAATCATATACCTATCTAGAGAATCAAAATATCTGATACTAAAACTAACAGAGCAAAAGGCATAATCGTAGGTAGATAATTTATTGTCCTTCTCTTACTAATTGACAGAATTAGCTATACAGAAAAATCAGTAAGAATATAGACAATTCTAGCACAAACACCTTGAGATCTGATGTTCACAGAACATTACTCCAGAAAAAGAATACACATTTTTTCAAGTACAATGGAATATTAATCAAGATAGAGCATATATTGATCCATAATAAAAATTTTCAAAAGATAAAATAATACAAAGTATGTTCTCTGACCACAAAGGAATTAAATTAGAAATAAAAATCAAATATACACACACACACACAGACACACACTCTGTCTGCTGTCTCTCTCCTTCTCTCTCTCTCTTTCTGTCTCTCCCCCTCTCTCTGTCTCTCCCTCCACCCAACCCCCGCCCCCCGCCAATTCTCTTTCTCTCTCCAAATATTTAGAAATTAAAAAACACACTTCAGGCTATGCATGGTGGCTCATGCCTGTTATCCTAGCACTTTGGGAGGCCAAGGCGGTTGGATTGCCTGAGCTCAGGAGTTTGAGACCAGCCTGGGCAACGTGGTTAAAACCCTGTCTCTACTAAAATAATAATAATAATAAAAAAAAAGCCAGGCATGGTGGCCCGTGCCTGTAGTCCCAGCTACTCTGGAGGCTGAGGCAGGAGAATTGCTTGAACCTGGGAGGCGGAGGTTGCAGTGAGCTGAGATGGTGCCACTGCACTCCAGCCTGGCGACAGAGTGAGACACCGTCTCAAAATAAACAACCCCACCCCACCCTCCAAAAAAAAAAACACACACACTTCAAAATGCCTATGGATCAAAGAAGAATTTAGAAGATAAATTATAAAATATTTCTAACTGAATGATGAAGTTATATAAAAATGTATGAGATGTGACAAAACAGTGCTTAGGGTTAGTTTATATTTTAAATGCTTATATTAGAAAAGAAAAAAGTTGCAAATCATTGCTCTGTTTTTATTGTAAGGGGTTGGGAAAAGAACAAATTGAATCAAAAGTAAGTAGGAAGGAGGAAATAATAAAGCAAATAAGAGCAGAAATAAAAAAGGAAAAGGAAAAAGAAAAACAATAGAGAAAATTAATAAATCCACATGTTGATTATTTGAGAACATTAATAAGACTAGAAATTTCTAGAAATATTGGTTAAGAAGCAAAGAGAGAAAACACAAATTACCAATGTCAAGAATTAAAGATGGAATTTCATTACAGATCTAAAGAGATAAAAAGTACAGGGAATGCCAGTTTATGCCAATAAATTCTAAAAAATCCACTAACGAAATATAATAGAAAAAAATTCTTGATAGTCATAACTTAACAAAACTGACATAAGAAGAAATAATCCACATAGCTATATATTTATATAAGAAATTGAGTTCATTATCAAAAACCTCTTTAGAAAGAGATTTCTTGGCATAAATGGTTCCCTTTTTTTGTGCTCTTGGGGACTTGTAGCTGCCATCCTTCTCTTAAGCAAAAGGGAGAGTCAAGGCTTCACTTATTTATTTACTTTATTTAATTCTATTGTAGCATTTATGATGTGCCAGCTACTGTTCTGAGCACTTTATAAATAATAACTTACCTGTCAGAGATGTGATTCATAGTAAGGACACGAAGAGAAAATTTCAGGAATGTTTATTTTCTACAATATATGCAAGTAATGTATGCTTAACAGAATTGTTTTCTACCCACTGGTGACAGAAACTTGTGGGCAAATGGGAATATGCCTTTAAATGTGTACTCTGATGGCAGGAGCAATCAGTCAGTGGCTTACTCTCATTTTCTCCCTGTACTGTGTATGCCGAATAGAAAACAATTGTTAAAACCTGGAATATGAGGCTAAACTGTAATGCTTTCTTTTTCCTGTTCTTGCTGCATGATTTTCTGCCTTTCAGGCTCATGCTATTTCCTTGGATCTCTACATTTTTTTTAAAATTTGTTATTTCCAACTTTTTATTTTGAGTTCAGGTGTACATCTGCAGGATGTGCAGGTTGTTACATTGGTAAATGTGTGCCATGGTGGTTTGTTACACAGATTATCCCATCACCCAGGTATTAAGCCCAGCATCCATTAACTTTTATTCCTGATCCTCTCCCTTCTCCCACCACCCCCCATACTCTCCTACAGGCCCCAGTGTGTGTTGTTCCCCTCCATGTGTCCATGTGTTTTCATCATTTAGCTCCCAGTTATAAGTGAGAACATGTGGTATTTGGTTTTCTGTTCCTGCATTAGTTTGCTGAGGATAATGGCTCCAGCTCTATCCATGTCCCTACAAAGGACATGATCTCATTCCTTTTTATGCTGCATAGTATTACATGGTATGTATGTACCATAATTTCTTTATCCAGTCAGTCATGGGTGGACATTTAGGTTGATTCCATGCCTTTGCTTTTGTGAATAGTGCTGCAGTGAACATGTGAATAGTGCTGCAGTGTGCATGTGTCTTTTTTTTTTTTTTCTTTTTTGAGATGGAGTCTAGGCCTGTCGCCAGGCTGGAGTGCAGTGGTGTGATCTCGGCTAACTGCAACCTCCGCCTCCTGGGTTCAAGTGATTCTCCTGCTTCAGCCTCCCGAGTAGCTGGGATTATAGGCATGCACCGCCACACCCAGCTAATTTTGTATTTTTAGTAGAGACGGGATTTCACCATGTTGGCCAGGATGGTCTCAATCTCCTGACCTCAGGAGATCCACCCACCTCGGCCTCCCAAAGTGCTGGGTTTACAGGCGTGAGCCACTGTGCCCGGCCATGTGCATGTGTCTTTATAATAGAACAATTTATATTCTTTTGGGTATATACCCAGTTATATACCCAGTATATACCCAGTAATGGGATTGCTGGGTTGAGTGGTATTTCTGCCTCTAGGTCTTTGAGGAATTGCCACACTCTCTTCCACAATGGTTGAACTGACTTGTACTCCCACCAACAGTGTAAAAGTGTTCCTTTTTCTCCACAACCCCACCAGCATCTGTTTGCTTTTGTTTTCTTTTTGAGACGGAGTATCGCTGTTGTTGCCAGGGCTGGAGTGCAATGGTGCTATCCCCGCTCACTGCAACCTCTGCCTCCTGGGTTCAAGCGATTCTCCTGCCTCAGCCTCCCCAGTAGCTGAGATTACAGGCACCTGCCATCACGCCTGGCTAGTTTTTATATTTCTAGTAGAGACAGGGTTTCACCATGTTGGCCAGGCTGGTCTCGAACTCCTGACCTCAGGCGATCCACCCGCCTTGGCCTGTCATAGTGCTGGGATTACAGGCATGAGCCACTGCACCCAGCCTTCTTTTTGTTTTTTTTTTTTTGTTTGTTTGTTTTTGAGATGGAGTCTTGCTCTGTCGCCCAGGCTGGAGTGCAGTGGCACGATCTCAGCTCTCTGCAACCTCTGCCTCCTGGGTTCAAGTGATTCTCCTGCCTCAGCCTCCTGAGTAGCTGGGATTACAGGCGTGCACCACCACGCCCAGCTAATTTTTGTATTTTTTAGTAGAGATGGGGTTTTGCCATGTTGGTCAGGCTGGTCTTAAACTCCTGACCTCAGGTGATCCGCCTGCCTCTGCCTCCCAAAGTACTAGGATTGCAGGCATGAGCCACTGTGCCTGGGCTTTTTGACTTTTTAATACTAGCCATTCTGACTGGTATGAGATAGTATCTCATTGTGGTTTTGATTTGCATTTCTGTAATGATCAGTGATCTTGAGCTTTTTTCCTGTTTGCTGTCCATGTGTATGTCTTCTTTTGAGAAGTGTCTGTTCATGGTTTTATGTCTGGAAATCAACTCTGAATAAAATATCTATCTTTAGCTGTCTCCACAACAGTGACTAGTATTTAATTACAACTAGGTAAGCCATTACAGAGCAGTTTTGCAATATTTGAGAATTGGATTGACTTGTTATTGATCTGATTTGATAATTTTTGTTAAGAGATGTATGCTAATAAGAAGCTAATAATGTTTCATAAAAGAGTATTTGGAAGTATTTTTCAAACATTATTGAGGAACCTTTTTCCCTTTGTTCACAGCACAGTACTAGGCCCTATTTAGTCCAGCAATTTTTCTAAGTATTGTTCTGATAGCAAAAAAATATACATATCAGTTGATCAGTTTTCTGGGTGCTCTCTTACCTTAAATGGTAGATGCTCAAAGGTTATGGATGTGAGTAATCATAGCTCACTGCAGCTTTGACCCCCTGGGTTCAGGTGATCCTCCCGCCTCAGCCTCCTCAGTAGCTTGGACTACAGGAGTGAGCCACCATGCTCAGCTAATTCCTTTTTTACTTTTTAATTTGTAGAGATGGGGTCTTGCCTTGTTACTCAGGCCTGTCTTGAATTCCTGGCTTCAAGTAATATTCCTGCATTGGTCTATTCCTGCCTTTTTAGCGGAGTGAGATGTGACTAAGGCATTTCAAAGCACTCTATCTTCAGAACTACCTGCTACCTATCTCAATTGCAGGTTCATTATTTTCTATTTTTGGCTTATATCCTGTAGTAATCAAAGATTGGCTTGAAAACAATATTGGCACAGACCATCATTATGAGCACGAATACTATTCTAAAAATAAATGAAAAAGGCGTCTGTACCTCTAACTACAGAAAAGCTATGATGAAGGCATTTTGACTGTTCGGCCAGTGGAACTCAGTGACATAGCAGGTATTAAGAAATAACTTTTCTGTAAGATACTTTCTTTTGGGCATCTAATTTGCTCATTTTTAGTTGAGAATTTCAAATACTTATTTTTTCAGAGCTTTTGTATGTATTTTAATGTTACCAGAGAATTAGCTTATTCAAGAATGGAAGATCATAAATCATTACATGACATATTGTACAGGAAGACATTGAGCATAATTTGTTGATAATGCCCACTCACAAAGGTATTTTTGAATCTTTCCATCTTCCAGTTATGACAGTTAAGATAATAGTGTGCTTTCCCACTCTACCATCAAGTAGTGTGTCGTGCCTTGTGGTACAAAGAAATTGTCATGAAATAAAATTCAACCAGTCTTTGAATTCTTAATACCTTAATAGCAATATGAAATTTCTGTAAAATCCACAGATTATAGCTTTCTTTTTTCCCCTCTTGATTCTTATTTTGTGGCAAAGAGAGAAAGATAAAAAATGATGATGCAAATGAGATGTTTTATAGCACTGGAAAATATCTTGAAATAAAAGATAAGTCAGACTCTAAAATGTAGGGGCAATATGAGGATGTAGGAAGATCGGTAGAGAATTTCATCAAAGGTGCCATGAGAAATAAAATCTTAGGAAGAGGATGCTCAATAGTGATGGATGCTTGAGGAGAGACAGAGGATTTTGCAAACTGATTAAAGGTGATAGAAATAATAGTTTCTAATTAAAACTGCTTCTAATTAAAACTCCTTTTAATGGAAGGATAATACTTAGTGAATTTGAGTTCTCAAAGTACTGACTTACAGTTTAAATATGAAAGTCTCATTTTTCTTCTAATAGGGTTAGTAGAGTATAATTAGGCAAACTTAAGTGTTGTGCAGCACAGAGATTATTTTAAAAGTTAAGTATTTGAGAATCCACTTTAATCAAAACCTTTTAGTATGTGAGAATATAATTACATTTTACAAATATATTTGAAATTCTCTTTACTATATGATGGAAAGGTATCAAATTCATCCAACATTCAGAGGTTTAGTACCCTAATGACGTTCTTATTTAACAATTAATTTTAATACCAAAATGCAATAAAACACATTTAGCTATCTTCTTGCTTGTCCTGGATATTAATAAAAATCTGAGGCTTATGCTGAGGCAGGAAAACATTCGTTAATTTTATGTCATTAAAAAAAGAAAACTGTACTCACTTTTGTTCTAATCTTAAATTTTGTCTTTCTTTCTGTACAGTTTCTACCTATTTTTACTGTATCTTTCCAGTTAGTTTTAATTTTTTCGTTTTATTTTATTTTATTTTTTCCTTTTATATTTCTCAAAATTTCATTCTGAGAGCCTTTTACCAAGAAGGTTCTCAGAAGAATACTTTGATAAGTTCTCTTAAAGCTTTGCTATTTTATTTTTGTCTTTTGCATTCCTTTTTCTCTACCTTAAAGCTATCTGCATATACTTGTTTTCTCTTTCATTTCTTTTATTCTTCCAACTGCCTTTTGATCATTTATTATTAAAGCCAGTGAGTTATAATTATTTTTTGTTGTAGCTTGCTTTTAATCTGAGCTGAAAAATCCATGTTTTTTTTCATTTGTTATATTCTAGTCTTACATTTTAACTCCCTTCTTTTCATTTATTTATTCTGTTCTATTTTCCTATCTTAGTTTTTCCCACATTGGTAATTATTGCTTTTTTTCTCTTTGGACTAGATAAATTTCTTACTTCAGTAACATTGTAGGAAGGAATGAAAATAGTGAAGACAACAAGACATTTAACTTTTGCATTACAATAAATAGGAAGGAATTATGGAACTTTAATTTGTCTCCTCATTTCATGGGTAAGAGGTCAGAAAGTTATATTAAAAAACATATTAAGGCTGGGCATGGTGTCTCATGCCTGTTAGCCCAGCACTTTGGGAGGCCAAGGTGGGTGGATCACTTGAGGTCAGGAGTTTGAGACCAGCCTGGTCAACATGGTGAAACCCCGTCCCTACTAAAAGTACAAAAAAAAAAAAAATTTAGCCAGGCCTGGTGGCAGGCACCTGTAATCCCAGTTACTCAGGAGGCTGAGGCAGGAGAATCGCTTGAACCCAGGAGGCAGAGGTTGCAATGAGCCGAGATTGCGCCACTGCACTCCAGCCTGGGCGACAAGAACAAGACTCCGTCTCAAAAAAGCAAGCAAACAAAAAGCCATATTAAATCCTGGGAGATAGCCTCATATAGTCTATTTTCCCCAACCATTTTGTTAGTCTACACAGGTTCTAGGATAGTTGATCCTGCACTTTTAGCATTCTTTTTAATTTGACATGTTTTTCAGTTTAAGTCCTTTGTCAGTATAGCACAGAATGAGTACTCCGTTTGTATCAGTTGAATTAATTTGAGCTAGTATCTAATGTACTGAGTTCATTACCATTTAAATATGCACTGAAATCCTTCATTTCTGGAAGAGTAATGGGGATATCAAATTAGATCCGCAGGGATGAAGTGAGGCCAGGGTCACTGAAATCCCTCTGGGGATGCAGGTGGGAATTACATTTTCTCACTAATAAATAACATTTGACATTTGATAAGTATTCTTAAGTTCAGGGGAGCTGAACTTGTTCATACAAACTGTGTTAATTATCTTCCGTAAAAAACAGGTTAGCCTCTATAATTTTGAGCTGCAAGTAATAGATACAAGTCGCCCAAAATTATTTTGTAAATGATGTATTTGTAAGAAGTTAAATACAAACAGCTTCTTTACAGCAGTAAGATTTGCTTAAACTCAGGACAGGGGGTTGAAAAGAATGGTGGGGAAGTGTGTGTGTGTGTGTGTGTGTGTGTGTGTGAGAAAAGAGTCAGAATCGGGTAGGGCAACAGGATAAGTAGAAAGGGTTGTGCTAAAGGTGTGCCGGGAGCCATCTGACTTGTACTGGAGATCCAGTAGCTGAATGTCACTATCAACAGTAGTGAGGGCTCAGAACGCTGAAGCAGGTTTACATGATATATTTTTATTTTATTTTTTTGAGATACCTGGAAATCCACATCTGAGCTTTTGGGATATGCTGTTGCTTTTTGCTTTCAGTAGCTTAAGCAATTCAACTTGGCTTATATGTTTCTCATTTGTAATCTAAAAGTCATGCAGGACTGTGTCCAATAAAGTTTCTCTCATAAATTCATTTCTCTATCTCTTGATTATTTTCTTTGCCTTTTCCTCTGACTGTGACTTTGGTTGGATTGATTATCTAGCTGCCTAAAATTCAAAGAATTAAATTTGGGACAGGGCCTAGAACAAAAACCTGTTGGGCTACTTTATTTACTATTGAAAGGAAGAATGACAAATTATCACTCCATTATTGGGCCGGGCTAACAGTGAATAAGGGAAAGAAATCAGAGGCTACTTTACCTTGCACTCATGTCCTACTCACTCTTCTCTCTTCCCCATTATATATTACGTTTTTTTTTCCCCTGGGATGATATGAGTCCACAAGCTTCATCTGGAAAACCCGCATTTAGTCCCACTTGGTCCACTTATTCATATGGAATAATTCTGATGGCTTAAACTTTTAGTCTTCAAAATTGAAAACCTTGTTGGGATAGTTTTGATTGGCTTAGTTCTTTTGAGTAAAATACTTAGTATCTCAGAATTCTTCTTCCTCTCCTCCAAGATGTCATCTGAAGGTACAAGAGAAAAGTGTGCCCTTCATGATCTGCATGGTATCCAGTGGCTCATCCTGTTCTCATGACTTTGTCCTTTCCTTTCCGGTTATTGTTCACCTTGCATTTATGATGAAGAACAACAGCTAGTGTAACTCATGATTTGATTTATCTAGGATTGTTCAGGTGTGGTGGCATTCTCTGGCTGATTTTGCTCTCTGAGTCTCTGTTGTTTCCTAGAGTTGAGACACACCTTCTTGCCATGCGGGGCCCAACCAGACTGTGGGCTTTCAACTTGGTTTCCTCTGATATTGTCTTGTCATTTCTAGGGTCATTCAAGAGCTTAGGTTGATCTTCAAGATGTCGTTTTCTAGGAAACTCAGCTCATATCTAGCTGCCAGATGGAGGATAAGAGGATGGAGAAGACATTCTTATTTGCTCAGTAATCTTGGACAATTTATAGAAATTTTGCAGTGCACTGAATATGGTAATATCTCACAGCCTTGTTAGAATGATTATACAATTTCAAATATTTTTTGAGCCTTTAACCTGTCCTGTCTACCTTCTGAAGCTCCCCTCCCCTCACCTTTTCTGAGCTTCCACTTTCTTCCTGCCTCATAGACACACAGGATAATTTTCATTAAGGTATTGCGTTTTCCAATGCTGTGCTTAGCATAGTTTCTGATATATAGATACTCAGTAAATATTTGTTGAATAAATGTTGGATAAACAAGACCTATGAAGTAAATAATTATACTTAGTTTAAAATACTATATAGAAATAAGTATTACTAGTATTTTGTCATATCCTTTCCCTCAATACCCCTCTCTTTTAAATTATTTTATGACAGTGACATGTAATTAATTTTTCTTATTTTTAAACATCTTACTGTGTCAATAAGCATATATTTTCATAATGTGTAATGTATAGTATAAACCCAATTTTAATGTCTGCTTATTGTTCCATTGAGTGTGTCTAACATAATTTATTTCATAGTTTTCTTGAATTTGGGGTGTTTTCTATTTTCCTCTTTTATAAACAGAGCTTCAAAGAATGTCCATGTACATACATACATTAAAAATTATGCTCATTTGCACAATATATTTAAGAAAAATGCCTAGAATTAGAATTTTTGAGTCAAAGAATGTGCACATTTTTCACTTGGTATATATTTCCAGGTTGTCCTATGAACTTTGATCTTCAATTTGGAGAAATATAAATTTTTGAAAAGAAGCTATAATCTTTGACCCACTAATTGAGAGAATCTATCTCATAGAAATATAAGTAGTTTTGACTGGGTGCGGTGGCTCACGTCTGTAATCCCAGCACTTTGGGACACCGAGGCAGGTGGAACACCTGAGGTCAGGAGTTCGAGACCAGCCTGGCCAACATTGTGAAATCCTGTCTCTACTAAAAATACAAAAAATTAGCTGGACATAGTGGTGGGCACCTGTCATCCTAGCTACTTGGGAGGCTGAGGCAGGAGAATCACTTGAACCCGGGAGGTGGAGGTTGCAGTGAGCAGAGATCGTGTCACTGCACTCCAGCCCGGGCGACATAGTGCGACTCGGTCTCAAAAAAAAAAAAAAAAGTGTTTTTGTATAAACATATATGTAATATTTTGAGGGCTTGTAGCAGCTAATAGCTGAAATCAGTGTGAATGACCACATATAAGAAAAAGTTTGAATAAAATGTGGATCATTCATGTTACATAATATTATGTAGCCCTTGGTTTAGATCTGTTAACTCATGGTAATGCCCATGATACTAAGTGAGAAATACCAGTTGCAAAGTAATATGGATAGTATGGTTCTTTTTTTGTAAAAACAAAACACACACACACACACACACACACACACACACACACACAGACAGAATAATACTTTATATATGTTTATGATTTGTTTGAATGTACAGGAAGCTGTGAAAGGATACACTCAAGTTCTTAAAACTGTATCTTAGTGTGTGCATGTATATCTTAGGATTGTTTCACGTTTTACAATGAAAAAAAGTTTTGCTTTTGTAAGAAAAAGTAAATAAGGAAGACAAAGAAAAAATCAGGGCCTTAACAAACCACTCTGACTTTTCTGCAGCCTTAACAAACCACTCTGACTTTTCTGCAAACTGTGCTTTCAAACTAGACAGCTTCCTGTAGTTCTCGGAGGAATTTCAGGGCTTTAAAGAGTGTGTCCTGAAGTCAGGATCACTTTTATAGTTAGCTTAATTGGTATATTATTTTACACAAGATAACAGCTAAACTGTTGCGATTTCTCAAGTCATTGATGTTCTCAGAGGTAATCATCCTCAGAAAGGCTGCTGAAAATATGGTCAGCTTACATCCTGGTCTGGTTCATGTCAAACAACCAATTTTTTTAGAAGAGGAAATAGAGGATGAAATAGCAAAAATGTTTCAATTTAAGAAATTGTTTTCAGAAATAATCTATACTTTTCTATTGATAAGAGGAAGGAACAATTTTTGTTACAGCTAAAAATATAGAATAAAATAAGGTGACAACAATAGGTTGTAGCTAAATGCATGCTTTTATTAACTCACTAGATGTATGCTGTGATTTTGATTAAAATTTTGTCTTTCTGAAGGAGAGAAGTAAATATTAAAAAGGAAAAACCTTGGTATGTCTTAGAAAATTTTAAGCCTAGTAGCACTATGTAAAATCATTTTAAAATGAGAAAGTTTAGAAACTTGGAGAACAAAAGTGAAATAAAAACTTTATTTGGAAAAGTAAAATTGGTTATTGCTCATGGAAAAAATCTTGATCATTCAATGTCTGTGAACAGAGATGTTGACACAGTGAATTAAATATGGCAGGTGACCATTCATAAATGTGTACCAATGATATATTGAAAATATCTAGTGAAAGAAGTTCCTGGAATACTGTATTTATACTTGATTAGCCAGTAATACTTGCGTTAAATGATAAATGCTAGTCATAAATGCTGATGAATGAATAAGTTTGTCAAGCATGATCAGATCAGGGATCTGAAAACCCTGTATGTTAATATTATTTTTAATATAGGTAGATAATGGATACACATATGAACAGTTTTATCAAAGGATATACTGAAATTGTTCTATTCCTGTGCGAGCCTCAGAATTCAAAATCAAACTATAATTTTGACATAGATCATAAATAAGTGATAATAAGTTAATGAATAAGGCAGATTTTATTTTATGTTTGCTAAAACTTTATCATCAAAACAGTTTAAAGCATTGTATTCAATGTCAATGAAATTAAATACTAAAATAGAAACAAAAGTTTCCATGGGGGTCATTGGTGACTACTGTATATTTCAGTGTATAATTGCATATGCAACTCCATTGCTCCCTGTTGGTGAGGTCAGTGTGAGTGCCATATCACTCTGAAGCAAACTTATATGTCTTCTCAGTGCAGGCCTCAAAGTAGTATGCAAATATATTTTGCTATTGGATGAGATTAAGTGTATCAATGCGTATAGCTAACCAGTAGAGGTACAAGTTGTGCCTCCTCCTAATTCTGGGTCTAATGAGGGCTATGTCATCTCCATAGTTTGATTCTAAACCATCCTACTGTGCCTGCTTGCTGTATTTTTGGAGAGCCCCAACTCCTTTCTACGTATTTCATCAATGTACATTGTATCAGCATGCATAGTTTGAAACACTAATTTATTCAAGTTTATCTAATTCAACTAACTGTTAATTTGTTTCTGCTGCCTTTGGAGTAATCTATCTCCAGGCCTTCCTGTGTTATCTTGAATAATTGAGAGTGTACTCGTAGAAAGAGCCACATTGCTGCAGAAGGTGCTGCTAAGCCTCCAAGAGGTTCCCTTCACTTGAGCAAGATTGAAAGTGATTCCAGCTGGCTAGAAAAAAATTACATGAAGGCTGTAATAGACCTTTAGGAAGGAAATCTGTTTCTACCAAGACAGAAGAATAATTCATTTGTAAGGAATATAAATTAAAGCTTTCTTCAAGTCATTGGAGTGTCTCTAATATTTTTCAGGTAGCATTTTTCATACTTCCCTATTTCATCAACTTTTAGTACAAAATTTTCCAAGCTTTAGTTTTCTCATTTATAAAATAAAGTAATAATGCCTGTCCTCAATTCTACGAATTTATGAAGATCAAATAGGAGGATGTAAAGGCTCCTATAAATTATAAATTTACCCACTATCGTAAGGCATTGTTTTCTTTATCAGGGTGGCTTTTGCTTTTTTATTACTTTTCATAACTACTTGCACTATATACTGTTATTTGAATACAATAACATAAAACCAACCATGTTACATGGTTACATAACTTTTTTAAAAAAATTTCTTTCTAACTTCAATTTTTATTCCTTTTTTTTTTCCTGTGCAGAAAGAAAAATCAGCCTGTCAGCTACTCATGTCTAATTTCAAAATTATCTTGCAGAATTAAGCAGTTAAGACTTTGTAGAAATTTGGGGAGTATAAGGAATTGCAGATGAATGCCAGCTCCTCCTGGGCATACTGTTGTTCTTAATGTAAAAGTCCGGTTTTGCCCAGCATCAATTAATGGTGCCTTGGAACTGGGTGCAGGGGTCCCTAAAGATCTCCTGCAGGCTGAGACAGTCTCCCTTGAGCCATTTTCCACAGAGCCAGAGTGGTGTGACCTCTTGCTGCTGCAGTATTTCAAAGTGATTGTATTTCACTGCTCTCATAAACACATCTTGTAAAAGAAACAAGGTTGTCTTTTAAACTGTGCTCTTGCTTGACAGGAAAAATAAAACCCAGTCTACTTTCAGGACCTTATGGCCTAATAAGAAGTCAACCCTTTTCATTTTTGTTAAGAATAGTTTTGTATCAACTTGCCATTCTTCATGTAAAAGTATAATTTATTATGAAAGAAGAGAATCTGGATGATAAATAGGACTTTTATGTTCTTGTTACCTGTGATTCAGAAAATTCTAACTCACAGAGCTGGTTGAATAGAGAATTCTAAAACCGACAACAAGGAGATGCTTGTTAAATCTACTTTTTAATGCTTGTTTATTTTATTATACACATGACATGTACTATTCACTGTTCATCTTATGTATATGGGAACTTGCAATTTTTGGTCTATTATACATGCCTATATATTTTATGTTTGGTGCTATCAGGAACATAGATATTATTAAACAAGGCTAGGATTTATTTTACTTTACTTTATATTTGTAGGTTATTATGCAGTCCAAAGATTACAGAGATGAAGGGAAATTAGACCAATTATTTTCATATGATATTTAGAGAAAAGCATTTGTGCATTCCTTTGTGTCAGTAAGCATAAGAACTCTCTGTCACCCAGGCTGGAGTGCAGTGAATACAAAGAAAATGTAAGATATTTTACTAATACTTTTTATATTGATTATGTGTTGACATGATAATATTTTAGATATATTTGATTAGGTAAAATAGGAAATTAAAATCAATTTCACTCTTGAAAGACTTTAAGTCCGGGCGTGGAAGCTCATGCCTGTAATCCCAACACTTTGGGAGGCCAAGGCCAGCGGATCACCTAAGGTTGGGAGTTTGAGACCAGCCTGACCAAAATGGAGAAACCCCATCTCTACTAAATCTACAAAATTATCCAGGTGTGGTGGTGCATGCCTGTAATCCCAGCTACTCAGGAGGCTGAGGCAGGAGAATCGCTTGAACCCAGGAGGTGGAGGTTGCGGTGAGCTGAGATGGCCCCATTGCACTCCAGTCTGGGCAACAAGAGTGAAACTCTTGTCTCAAAAAAAAAAAAAAAAAAAAAAGGCCAGGCACAGTGGCTCATGCCTGTAATCCCAGCACTTTGGGAGGGCGAGGTGGGCAGACCATCCTGGCTAACACAGTGAAACCCCATCTCTACTAAAAATACAAAAAATTAGCTGGGCGTGGTGGCAAGCGCCTGTAGTCCCAGCTACTCAGGAGGCTGAGGCAGGAGAATGGCGTGAACCCAGGAGGCGGAGCTTGCAGTGAGCCCAGATCGAGCCACTGCACTCCAGCCTGGGAGACAGAGCAAGACTCCGTCTCAAAAAAAACAAACAAACTAAAAAACAACAACAACAACAAAGACTTTAAAAATGTACTTACTAAAAAATTTAAAATTATGTGTGAAGCTTGCATTATATTCCTCTTGCACAGTACTTCTCTAAGCAGTCTTGGCATAGAAATATTATGGAAGGCCAAGGCGGGCGGATCACCTGAGGTCAGGAGTTCAAGATCATCCTGGCCGACATGGTGAAACCACGTCTCTACTAAAAATACAAACATTAGCCAGGCTTGGTGGCAGGCACCTGTAATCCCAGCTACTCAGGAGGCTGAGGCAGGAAAATCGCTTGAACCCGGGAGGTGGAAGTTGCAGTGAGCCAAGATCACACCATTGCACTCCAGCTTTGGGGACAAGAGTGAAACTTCATCTCAAAAAAAAAAAAAAAAAGAAATATTATGTTTATATCCTTTATCCTTCTTTACCAAATTACCTCACTTTACCCCATATTTTGAGGACAGTTTAAAGAGGTCTGCACGTTCTGCAAGCACTACTTTCTGTTGTCTCACATCAAAAATTTCATTAGAAGTACCTGAAGAGTTTGCTCTTCTCTAAGAGGTTTCATCTATAAAAAGTTGATTTTAAATTCACTTTAGGTCAATGAGCATAAATGTTGTGGAGTTTAGCTGTGCATGTATGGAAAGGAGGCTTTCTTCCTTGGGCAAGGGCACCTTCTGGTGGTATATACTGAACATAGCAGCTTATTCGATGATCAGATGTAGACTTTAAGATTCTGGAATTGGCAAAAAAATTCATTTCAGGTGTTTGGAGGAAAAAAACTAAGATTAACGATAAAGATGTTCATTTCTCTGCAGCATCTTTTATAATTGAAGCTCATCTCAGTTCTGGGACTTATTTTTCTTAGTTACACAAGGCTAAGGTTGAGACAATATAATAAGAGCATTCTGATTTGGAGTGCTTTTTAAAATTGCAAAGTTCTTATTTGAGTTTTTGGGTTATTTTTCCCAAAAGTTTCCAATGGTGGTTTTTGTATCCATTATAAAAAGGAGAAGAGTTCTATATTTTTGTTCTTTATAATGTAAAACTTGAGGATGTTTAGGTTATTTAGTATATACAAGTAAGCTTCATTAGATAAATGAGGAAGAAGAGGTATAATAAATAAGCCCTATTACATTTTCTCAAGAAGTGATTTTAGTTATTTTGGAGACATGCATTTAAAAAGAGAAACATTGTTGAAAGGCTCAGGATCATGTATTTCTTGTCTTTTTCTGTTTCTTCTTGATGTATTATAGTACATATGATTATTCAAGTCATATCTCTTCATCACCGCATTTCATATACAAAGCCTGCCAAAAATAACTATGAAATAGCTGAGATCTTAAATACTGAGAACAAAATAGATTTCTCATAATTTGGAATTACATTAACCAGAAACAGTAAGACAGTTAAAATATGAGCCAACATCCAGCTATCAGCTAAATAAAGATTTCCAAAACCACTTATTGCCTTTCAGGCTGATGTAAGAATAGTTATGAGTGGTTATAAGGGAATGAATCAGTTGGATTTCCTTTTAATGTAGAGACCCTGGCAGCCCATTTCTAAAATTGTGCTTTAGTTATGCATATTACCTTCTTTGGAACCTAGTAAAAATGTGAAAAACGTTCAGATGATGAAAACATAACACAAATACCATTCTTTCTTTGTATGAAAGACAAAAAAAAAAACAAAAAACAAAAAAAAACCCCAAACAAGGATCTAGCCAAGCAACTCTATTCTAAGGGAGGAAATATAGTAAGAGTGGCCTGTAGCCAGGCATAGTGGCTCATGCCTATAATCTCAACACTTTGGGAGGCTGAGGTCAGAGGATTGCTTGAGCCCAAGAGTATGAGACCAGCCTTGGCAACATGGCAAAACCCTGACTCTACAAGAAATACAAAAATTAGCTGGGCGTGATGGCTCACGCCTGTAGTCCAGCTACTCAGGAAGCTGAGGTGAGAGGCTCTCTTGGGCACAGAAGGTCAAGGCTGCAGTGAGCCATGATCACACCACTGCACTCCAGCCTGGGCAACAGAGTGATACCATCTCAAAAAAAAAAAAAAAAGAAAGAAAGAAAGATTGTATTACTCTATTAGTGAAAGGAGCCAAAATTTACCCATATTGACAGCAGAGAGCTGAAATGACTATTTTACTTGTATGAAAATATTGTCTTTGCTTATTAATTAAAATGCTTTCATGAGTTGATATGTGGTAATATACTTTTAGATCAGTATATGAAATAGTATATATTATTATATTGTATTATTTATTAGGTAAATCTCAATGGAATAAAAAAATTCATTCAAACTCATTTTCCCAAAAAGGCTATTTTTAGATTTATAGTATTTGTTTTAGTGATAACTTCTGTTCAGTTCTCTCTAGCATTTCCAGAAATCTATGCTTGTTTCATGGCCTCCAGTAAAGGCTTCTGTTGATGAGGGGGTTTTGATCCCATGTCTGTCCAAAAAAGACAATTGGCTTTTCTTGGTAGGGAAGGATTCATTTAAGTGGAATCTTCCAAGCAACTGTCTCTACCATCTTCCATATTCTTGCTCCACTCTTACTGTTTTGTTTGCCTGTCGTGGAGTCCTAATTAGGGAAAAAGTCTCAGGCTGGTGGGAACAGGGGAAAGCCAAAAGAAAAAGCAGATAAGCTAAGTCTGCCTTTCTTCCTGGTCCAGGACATGTAGCCCTCCTGCACAAATAACTCACAATCTTCCTGCATTCAACTTACCACCAGACCCTACAAGTTAGCACACTGCATTCTTGGCATTATCAGTACTGCACAAAGCTCTCTTCAGCACACAGCACAAGCACCATCCTATAAAATCCCCAGCAAGCCTTTGTCTCCTTGCAGTCAGCTCCACTCTTGCTGACTTGCCCATGGCACGCTCGCAACGTATTTTCATACTTTCTGCTTTCTCTAATAAATCTGCTTTTCTTTACTTACTAATGTCTTGGTAAATTATTCTAACTGCCTGCGCAATACAGGCCCCAGATAGTCGCTACCCGAGACACCTATCCCATCCCATTTATGAAAGTGAGGCAGCAAGCCAATAAACACTTCATGGATTCGTAGCAATCACAGTCTCTTGAGAGCAGGATGTCCACCTGACCTCTTTTGGTGTGAACAATTCAGCTTTGTGTGTATTGGTCCTAGTCAGGGCGGGCTGTGTAAGGACACTGTTTTGAGATCAGCATGCCCTGTGCCTGTGTAGGCTTGTTGTCAACATGTGAGTGCTTCAAAGAGAATAGAGTACAGCTTCCCTCCTGACTTGTTCTCTTGCTTTCATAGAGATTTAAGGGCCTCCCCTATTTTCTTTTTCTTTTCTTTTCTTTTTTTTTTTGATATCCAGATACAGTTTATTTTCATGAGAAAGAACTTTTTTTAAAAAAACAAATGTGAATTCATTGTAAAACATTAGGGAAACGCAGCCAAGAGGGAAAAAAAGAACAGTATCTATAATTTACCATTTTGAGATGACTACTGTTAATACTTTTGGGAGTTTTCTTTTTAGGCATAAATATATACTTTATTTTTTTTTTAATAAAGAAGATTTATTACTTTTTGGCTTTTTGGCTAAGACCAAGTGTAAATAAAAAAGCTTTAACCTTAGCGTGTGAGACAAATATGTATACAATAAATTTCACCATAATATGGTAGAAGCAGTAATACAGATATGCACAGGAAGCTCTCAGAATACAGAAGACAGACATTTAGTTCAACCAGAGGTAACCAGTGAAGGCTTCCTGGAGATGGTTACACAAGAGATTAATTTGAAAGAATAGGTAGAAGTTAGCTAAGTACGGACAAGAGAATAAGCATTCCAGGTATGAGACATTTTACTATGAAACAGTATGTTGAGCACAGATAATTACAACTAATGAGGTATTTCTAGAATATTGAGCATAAGTTGGGATAGAGATAAAGGCAGTCAGCATGACATGGGGGAACCTTGTGTATCATATTATATATCCCATATGCTATAGAGAGGCATTAAAAGATCTTAAGCAGTAGAGTAATAATTTAGATAGATGGTATAGATCACTTTGGCAGCAGAAAGAAGGATTAATGGTGGAAAATCCTGGAGACAAGATTACAAGAAAACATCTAAGGAGGTAAAGAGAGAGGAGAACAGGGACTAAGGAATATAAGGGACATATAGAGGGCGGTGTACCTGCAAAGAAGAGGAAGAAGAATTGCTAGAGATGGAGGAAATATCTAAGAGAGTATGGTGTCATAGGCATCAAGACAAGAGAGTATTTCAACAACAACAACAACAAAATGGTCAAGTAGGGAAGGACTGGGATGTTTCACTTAGATTTGTATGTAGATCACTTAAGATTTTATAAAAGATATTTCAGTGGAGTGGGGATAGAAGTCAGATTGCAGTTGGTTCAGGAGTAAATAGTACTTAGGCAAATTCAAACAGCTTGCATAGCTTAAAAAATTGGGCTTTGAAGGTGAGGAAAGAGACAGCAATAATTTGAGGGGGACATAGGTTTGAGAAATGTTTTTTTTCTGGCGAGGTAGCCATTTCTTTTTTTTAACTTTTAAGTTCAGGGGTACATGTGCAGGATGTGCAGGTTTGCTACATAGGTAAATGTGTGTCAAGGGGGTTTATTGTACACGTTATTTCATTAGTCAGGTATTAAGCCTAGTACCCATTAATTATTTTTCGTGATCCTTTCTGTCCTCCCACCCTCCATCCCCAGAAAGGCCCCAGTGTGAATTGTTCCGCTCTATGTGTCCGTGGGCCTCACCTATTTTCTCTTTTTTTGGAGACAGAGTCTCTCTCTCTTGTCTAGACTGGTGTGCTGTGGCGTGATCTCGGTTCACTGCAACTTCTGCCTCCTGGGTTCAAGCAATTCTCATGCCTCAGCCTCTGGAGTAGCTGGGACTACAGGCACATGCCACGACAACCAGCTAATTTTTATATGTTTCTGTAGAGATGGGGTTTTACCATGTTGGTGAGGCTGGTCTCGAGCTCCTGACCTCAAGTGACCCGCCCTCCTAGGCCTCCCAAACTGCTGGGATTACAGGTGTGTGCCACCGTGCCTGGCCTGGGCCTCACTTATTTTCAGTGAGGGGTTGGGTGGCTGCACCTGCTGTCATTTTTACCTAAAGCAAGAAGCAGAAGTACTGCCTGGGACAAAGCTAGAATCCAGTGCTCAGGAAGTTTCCTAGGATAAAATGTTATTGAGAATCTTATAAATAGCTATTCCCTGGGGAGAGTAATGATTAATGCCAGTTAAAAGTGAAGAAGGTACTTCTCTTCCTGCTGTTTTGTGCAATGTACACAAAACTGAGTAAAACAAATTATTGTAGGTTGTTGAAATAGCATCATGAAAAATTAAACAGTTGGAAGACAACTATTGTGGCATATATAGGGGCTTTTACAAGAAACTAAACTAAGGATGTTCTTTAAAATGTGGAACTGGAGTCTACTTAGGGTTTAGTCTGGTTTGTGACCATGCCCTTCAGCCAGTGCAGACATTTGATCTCAGGACAGGTGCCCCTGCTGCAGAAGACCGCCAGCACCCTGACTCCAACAGCTCTGATGCATCTCACTGCCAAGGCCTGGATGGAAAAAAATTCAGCAGAAGTTACACTTATGACGGCAGAAAGTTCAGCAGAAGTTGTACTTATTTAGGATCAGATAGAGGGCTGGGGTAGCTTCAATAGCCAGACAAGGACCAATCTACTCAAGAACAACAGTGATGAGAAGACAGATTTTATGGACTGGGTGTGGAAGGAAAGGGGCTGTGGCTGTAAGAGTAAATTATGTGGCTGCAGGTGAGACCATTTGTTTGTTTCATAGTGAGGATCAAAATAGCAGTTACAGATCCCTTCTTTCTGTGCTATGCTGTGGAAGCTAAGATGGCTCTATGTGTTTTTGTATAGCTGGTGTGCCAAAGTTAGCCTCTATTTGGGGCAAATCTGTAGAAGAGAAGTAAAGCAAAAGAGATTCTATAGTATAATACAAAAGTCTAGGTGCAGAAAAACTAAGTTCAGATGTTGGTTGTGCCACTTACTAGATGTGTAACCTTAAATAATTTACTTTCTCCGAACATCACCAGTTTCATATCTGAGAGATAGGCATAATACCTACCTCACAGTATTGTTTCAAGGATTAAAGAAAATACAAAATGCCAAACCCTCCACATTGTACTTCATATATTCTAAAGGCTCAGTAAAGACTAATTTACTATTCTGTATGTGATTCTATGTAGTATGAATAATCCTTTCCCATATCTTATTGATCAGATATGCCATCCATTAGCCATACAACTATTTTATAATTATGTGCTCTTTGTTAGTAGGGGTTTGCATCATCAGTGCGAATGAATTGCTTATGGAAAAGCAATTGTGAACTCATGCCCCATGGATAATGAATGGAGAGAAGTTAGGGGATATTTATTGAGCCCTTATTGTGTACTTTTGTGCACATTAGTTTTCTTTTTTTTTTTTTTTTTTTTTTGAGATGGAGTCTTGCTCTATCACCCAGGCTGGAGTGCAGTGGCATGATCTCGGCTCACTGCAAGCTCCGCCTCTCGGGTTCACGCCATTCTCCTGCCTCAGCCTCCCGAGTAGCTGGGACTACAGGTGCCTGCCACCACACCTGGCTAATTTTTTTGTATTTTTAGTAGAGACGGGGTTTCACCACGTTAGCCAGGATGGTCTCGATCTCCTGACCTCGTGATCCGCCCACCTCGGCCTCCCAAAGTGCTGGGATTACAGGTGTGAGCCACCATGCCTTGCCACATTAGTTAATTATTACAACAACTTAATGAGATAGATACTATTACAATTTTTTTAAATCATGAAGAAACTGAGGATCAGAGATTAAGTTGCCCAAGGTAATGTTGATCAGCGGTCCCCAACCTTTTTGGCACCGGGGTGGGTTTTGTGGAAGACAGTTTTTTCAGTGACCAGGGTTAGGGGAGCAGGAGATGGTTGCAGGATGAAACTTGCACTTTAGATCCTCAGGCGTTGGATTCTTTTTTTTTTTTTTGAGATGGAGTTTTGCTCTTGTCACCCAAGCTGGAGTGCAATGGCATGATCTTGGCTCACTGCAACCTCCGCCTCCCGGGTACAAGCAATTCTCCTGCCTCAGCCTCATGAGTAGCTGGGATTACAGGCGTCTGCCACCATGCCTGGCTAATTTTTGTATTTTTAGTAAAGACGGGGTTTCACCATGTTGGCCAGGCAGGTCTTGAACTCCTGACCTCAAGTTATCCACCTGCTTTGGCCTCCCAAAGTGCTGGGATTATAGGTGTGAGCCACCGAGCCTGGCCTGGATTCTTAAAAGGAGCACACAACCTAGATCCCTCGCATGTGCAGTTCACAATAGGGTTCACACTCTTATGAGAATCTAATGCTGCCACTGATCTGACAGGAGGTGGAGCCCAGGCAGTAATGCTTGCTCTCCAGCCACTCATCTGCTGCGCAGTCCAGTTCCTAACAGGCCATGGACCTGTACCAGTCTGCGACCCAGAGGTTGGGGACCCCAATGTAGATAATAAATGGTGTGGTTGAAATAGTTTTGTTTGAAAGTAGGATTTATCTTTTTTTTTACTTTCTAATGTCGCATTTACTTATAAATAAGAGAACTGTTGAGGGACAGACTATAACCACTTTGCTGAAACTATGAAAAAAGCAAGACATAGATTTTGTTTATATTTAATTCTTAAAACAATGGGTGATTCTTGCATCTTTCTTGCAGGTTCATTGGGTAGCAGTCTCTGAGAAGGAGGTGCAGGAAGTTCAATGGGGAGTGGTCTTGGGAAGGGAAGAAGGCAGAGCAGGATAAGACAGAGGCACCAGTTCGGTTGCAATATAGTCACAACAGGGTCCCTATGAGCACCACACAGGGAGCTCTGAAACTAGAATAGTCCTTCAGAGTAGGCCTGAGTGGGATGAGAGCTTGGGCTTTTATACAGTTGAGAGTTGAGATCAGTCAGCTGACAATCTTCCCAGCAGCTTGGAAAATCAGTCATTTGGTCTTAAAAGGGGTATTTGGGAAGTGCCACCCAGTATTCATGACATGTTCTATAATATGTAACTCATAAAAAGGAGAGAAGTGACATTTAATGTAGGAATATAGATTTATTTTTAGTGTTCTCTTTTTGAAGCAGTTATAAAATAAATAGAAATTTAATTTTTGGTATTTTCCTTTCAAATGTTAACAATTCTTTTTGCAACTTCTGGGTTAGGTTGACATCGTACTTTGGTCTGGACTGTAAGACCGTTAGTGAAAATCTGTCAATAAATCTCACCCCATGCAGTGTAAAAGTACCTTTTCTCTCTTCATTCAAATGAGAATCGTTTAGATGTCCTGTCATTCTAGATGGGTTTTGAAGACAAAAGTAGCATCTTTCTTTTTCATCAGATTTTAGGGCTAGAGAAAGAATTTATCCAAGGGATATTTTCTCTTCTTTTTTGTTTTTTTTTGTTTTTGTTTTTGAGACGGAGTTTTGCTCGTCACCCAGGCTGGAGTGTAGTGGTGCAATCTCGGCTCACTGCAACCTCCGCCTCCTGGGTTCAAGGGATTCTCCTGTCTCAGCCTCCCGAGTAACTGGGATTACAGGCATCCGCCACCACACCCGGCTAGTTTTTGTATTTTCAGTAGAGACGGGGTTTCACCATCTTGGCCAGGCTGGTCTTGAACTCCTGACCTCGTGATCCACCAGCCTCAGCCTCCCAAAGTGCTGGGATTACAGGTGTGAGCCACTGCGCCCAGCCCCAAGGGATATTTTCTTATGAATACTTTTAAAGAAGACATTGATTTGTCTCAGTTCACTTAGATGTCATGTTATATATATTCTAAAAGTATTTTAAAAATTCATCTGACTTTTTTTTTTCTAAAGAGGAAATCTCGGCAGAAAAACAGTACTTATTTTTGTTACTTTCTTATTGATTCCTAATGATTTCCCCAGAGGTGGTCATGCATGTGGAGGGCCATCCTCCTCCACACCCACTAGCTTCTTACTTTACTGACAGATATGATACAATCATCTTTGATGTGTCTCAATTCTATTCCTCCACATTTCAGGATTTATCTACTTTTAAAATAATGGCCCTTCCTTTTCCCTTACCATTTGACGAGTATTTGTTGAGTGCATACCATGTGTTAGGTATTCTTCAAGGTGCATGGAATATGCCAGTGAACAAAACACACAGAAGTACCTGTCCTCATTGAGCTTACAGTCTTAACTTTTCCAGATTCTGTTTCTGTTCTTAAGGCATCTTCTAACATTTCTTTTGGGAAATACCTCTTGAATTTTTTTTTTTTTTTTTTTTTTTGAGATGGAGTCTCACCCTGTCACCCAGGCTGGAGTGCAGTGGCGTGATCTCAGCTCACTGCAAGCTCCGCCTCCCAGGTTCATGCCATTCTCCTGCCTCAGCCTCCCCAGTAGCTGGGACTACAGGCACCCACCACCATGCCCGGCTAATTTTTTTTAGTAGAGACAGGGTTTCACCATGTCAGTCAGGATGGTCTCGATCCCCTGACCTCATGATCCACCCGCCTTGGCCTCCCAAAGTGCTGGGATTACAGGCATGAGCCACTGCGCCCAGCCAGAAATACCTCTTGAATTTTTAAGCTTTCTAACTGCTTTCTAGAAAACACTCATATCCTCTTATTTTATATAATTTTCTCCTTATCAGGCTACCCTAAAACTACCATACTCATATTTTTTTCCTCTATTGTTTTAAAGTAGTCTGCACTTACTCTCAGCTTCCTTAGTTCTCTATTATTCCTTAACCTCTTGTGATCCAATGTCTTTCATTAGAAGTTTGCAAAACTGTCCCGTGGAAAATATACTTTAAAAAAATCCATTTTTTTTGCCTCCACTGCTACACTGTCAATATCTCTCTCTTGGACCATTGCAATAGCCTTTTTCCAAACTGGCCTCTTTGTCAATAATTAGTCATCAAATCTACCTTATAAGCTGCTGTCAAAATACTCCTGGTATCAGGAGGTCAAGACTACCCCTAGTTTTAATGACTCATGAGGAGAATTCACAGGCCTCAGCATATATTAGGACTCATGGCTGGGATTTATTATGGAGAAAGAATCTAAAAGAAAGTCAACTAAGGGAAAAGGTGCGTGGGGCAAAATCCTGGGGAAATTAGGCACAAACTTCCAGAATTGTTTCCCAGTGAAGGCACACAAGACACACTTAATTCCCTCAGCAAGGGATTGTGACAACACATAGGAAATGTTGCCAACCAGGAAAACTTGTTAGAGACTCATTGGCCAGGGTTCTTATTGGGTGCTGGTCTTGTGGGCACCCTCTGCTTGGCATGTTACCAAATTCCAGGCTCCCAGAAGGAAAGCAGGTGTTCAGGGTAAGCCATATCGTTTATATAAACATTTTAGGCATAATGAACCAGGCTTTTAAATTATGGAATGATAGGAACCTTCCCCAAATCCAAGTTCCCAGATGCCAGCCAAGGGCCAACTTTGCAAGCAGGCTTTTCTAAGGACAGCAATTTAGGCCTGCTATGTTAACTATTTTCTGTACACTCTTCCTAAAGTGTAGCTCTAATCTAACTTCCTTCTTTCCTTCTGGAAATTCCAGAGATATTTATTGGAAATCTGCAATGTATCAGCCACTATTTTAGATACTGGGGCTACAGTGATAAACAAAATAGATAAAATCCTGTCATGTTTTGATCTATAAGAGAAGATAGACTATAAAGAGATAAATGAAAAATGAATAGTAAATGTCAGATGGTAGTCAAGATTATGAAATAAAGCAGTTTAAGGGGAAAAGAACAAGGGATGGGGTAGGCACTATTTTAGATAAGGTCATCAGGGAGGCTTGTCTGAAAAGGTGAGATTTTATCATAGACTTAAGGGAATGTCTAGGCAGAAGGAATAGCAAGTGAAAAGCCCAGAGGTGAAATGAGCTGGATATGATGTTCCAGAAACAGCAAGAAGGACAGCGTAGCTGGAGTGCAGTGTGGAAGGTAGAGCATGGAAGGAGATGAATTTGGTAAAATAGGCAACAAACAGATTATGTTGGCTCTTTTAGGAAGCCACGATAAGGAGTTTGGATTTTATTCTAAGTATAATGTAAAATTCTCAAAGCATTTTGAACAGGAAGGGACATGACCTAATTTATATTTTTAATTGATTATATTAGTTGCTGTGTCAAAAACGAACTGTAAGAGAACAAGAATGGAAGCACAGAGACAAATCAAATGCTTTTCTAGAAGTCTTAAGACATCATGGAGGCTTGGACTAGGGTGAGAGCAGTGAAGAGGCGAGGATATTATGACACTTTAGTGCTTAAAAACTTAAATCACTCAGTTGGCTACAGTATGTAGTTCAGATACCTTCAAGGCATTTTTTGAAACCAAGTTTCAGTCTTGCACTTATTCCCACTAAAAATTTCTCAAAATTCTGCCTTTTTCAGTGCATATTTAAATCAACCTAAATCTCTGTCCATTACTTAGATATTCTAGACTTTCTTACCTCCATGATTCATTATATACTCAATTCTCTTTGTGAAAAATCACAATCTCCTTTAGCCATTTTTTCCATCCAAATGTTACCTGTTCTTCAAAACCACCTTTTCATGAACCTTTCCCTATTCTCTACTTTGAAATTAATTTTTCTTCTGTTATCCCATATATTTCACTTATCTATTACTGCCTAAAACCCTAACCCAGACTTACTGGTTTAGAATATCAATTTTACCTTGCTTGTGATTTTGTGGGTTAGAAATACATGAAGGACTCGGGTGCGTGACTCATCAGCTGAAGTAGCTGGGACTAGAGGATCAATTTTCAAGAAGGCTTATTCACTCACAAGTTTGGCACCTCAGTGCTTCTTGGCCTTTCTCCACCTCTGCATGGTACCTCATCCTTCTGAGCTTTGGCTTTTCTCAGCATGACAACTTCTTAAAGCCATCAGGAGACCAAGATGGAAGCTGCCATTCCTCTTAAAGGCCAGGTCTGGAACTGACATACCAATACTTCCATGGTACTGTATTGGTCACTGAAATCACAGGCCAGCTCAGATTCAAGAGTGGAAAGAAAGTCTCTGCTCATTGCCAAGAGCATGGCATGGACATACAGGGAGAGAAGAAATTAATGGCAGCCACCTTGGGGACAGCTACCAAAGCATACTCCCTTACTCACATTTCCATTTTCAAGGTGTTGGTTGGTATTAAATGTATTTTCACAGATGTCTCATCTTCCTTATTAAATTGTAAATTCTTTGAGGGAGAGAATGGTGGCTGGTTCATTTTTGCATCCCTAGTGTCACATTACAGATTTTCTTTTTCTTTCTTTTTTTTAAAATTTAACTTTTAAGTTTGGGGGTACATATGCAGGATGTGCATGTTTGTTACATAGGTAAACATGTGTCATGGGGGTTGGTTGTACAGATTATTTCATCACCCAGGTATTAAGCCTGGAACGTACTAGTTATAGTTCCTCCTTCTCTCCCTCCCACCCTCCACCCTCCAATAGGCCCCAGTGTATACTGCTACCCTCTGTGTAAGTCTGTGTGTTCTCATCATTTAGCTCCCACCTAGAATTCGTGGTATTTGGTTTTCTGTTCCTGCATTAGTTTGCTAAGGATAATGGCCCCCAGCTCTATTCATGTCCCTGCAAAGGACTTGATCTCATTCTTTTTGTGGCTGCATAGTATTCCATGGTGTGTATGTACATTTTCTTTATCCCGTCTGTCATTGATGGACATTCTGGTTGATTCCACATCTTTGCTGTTGACATCACAGATTTTCAATGCCCTTTTTTTTTAAATAGAATTTATGTGGCAATATTCTTAGAAAATATATACAGAAATAAAAACTAACTCAGTTGAACACATAATTATTGCATATGTACTAAGTTCAATGGGTTTATTAATTGTGAGGATTGAACATTTTGCTTTTTTTAACTTTTATTTTAAGTTCAGGGCTATAAGTGGAGATTTGTTACATAAGTAAACTTGTGTCATGGGGGTTTGTTGTGCAGATTATTTCATCACCCATTATTAAGCCTAGTATCCATTAGTTATTTTTCCTGATTCTCTTCCTCCTCCCACTCTCCACTCTCCAAAAGACCTTAGTGTGGTGGGCTGTTCCTTTTTATGTGTCGATGTGTTCTCATCCTTTAGCTCCTGCTTGTCAATAACAACATGAGGTGTTTGGTTTTGTGTTCCTGTGTAAGTTTGCTAAGGATAATGGCCTTCATCTCTATCCATGTCTTTGCAAAGGACATGATCTTGTTCTTTTTTATGGCTGCATAGTGTTCTGTGGTGTATATGTGCCACATTTTCTTTATCCAGTCTATCACTGACGCGCATTTAGGTTGATTCTGTGGCTTTGCTATTGTGAATAGTGCAGCAATGAACATATGCGTGCATGTGTCTTGTTATATTTGAATAGTTTTACAGTTTATAAATGAATTAAAGCCATTATACATTTACTGGGCAAAGTTCTGTGATGGGTGCTGTGGGGAATACAAAGGTGAATGACACCATCTTCAATACAACATTATTTAATTCACATATCAAAACAACTGTCTGAAGTGGTGGAGAAAATTTGCCAGTCTCATGTTATACATGAGAAATGGTCAAGGAAACTTTTATCAGATCTGGTGCTACAATTTAGTCTCTTTGTTTCCAGGGCAGTGATATTCCGTACACCATGCTAAAGGTCCATGCTAATGCTAATGCTAATGCTTAGTTTATGTTAAGGCCCTTCATAATATGTCCTTAAACTTACCCTTCCTTTTATGTCTCAATAGTCTTCAAGTACTGAATATTGTTATTTTCTAAACAGGCTCAAAACATTCTCATAATTTTGCTGATGAAGGCTGTAAGACTCAGCAAATCTGCAATTTCATTTTCTCCTGCCTGCTTTATTCTAGCCACACTGGCAGCTGGTTAGATGGGATGGTGCCCATTCAGATTGAGGGTGGGTCTGCCTTTCCCAGTCCTCTGACTCAAATGTCAGTCTCCTTTGGCAGCACCCTTAAAGACACACCCAAGAACAATACTTTGCATCCTTCAATCCAACCAAGTTGACACATAGTATTGACCATCACAATATTTAATAATAAAATACTAACATTAATTGAGCTCCTACCTTGCAGCAATAGTGTATGAGGCACTGGAGATATAAAGGTTCGTGGGAAATATTCCTTACCCTCAGGAGGTTCTCAGACTATCAGTGGAGACAGTGTCTTCTAGATTGTGCCTTCTCCTTCCCAATCTCCCTGTTTCCATCTCTTATTAAAATCTTAGTCATTTTTCAGAGCTCAGCAAAAATATCACCTCTTCTATAAAGTCATTTGTGTTTCCTCTAGTCATCTGATCACTTTTATATGGCAGTTACATTGTTCATAGTTTGTTGTTATGTGGTTGTCCTCAACTTGCTTTGTCTCCTACTCTGCTGACATTTGGGAAGACGCAACATTTGAGTTCAGTCTATAGCACCTTGTACAGGGTAGGCAACCCCATGTTTTTGAACATTGGATTCATTGTAACAGTCACTTCTAGGTTGCCTGAAATAAACACATTTTTTTTTTTGTGGTCCACACTTCCTATACATGCTTTTGACATTTTTTCTCAGGCCATGGCCTTTGCTGGAGGCTTTGTTGGCCATGGTTATAGCATGTGACTCCTCCCTCACTACAGTTGACTGGATAGGAATGTGCACATAATCCAAGGCTGGTGAACTCAATTGCTGACCCACAGCTTATCATTTTATCATATTTTCTAATCAGTTTGCATTAATATGAGGAGGTTTCAGTTTATGGTGGGTGTTTGCCCTATAATTTAATATATTTTTGTGTCAGGCAACCGTATTGGTCTGTGTGCAAGAAGAGGAAGCTGCTCAAGAGAACAAATAGAGAAGATGAGATTCATCATATAAACTTCGAGAGAATGACTAGACCTAGTTGCCTGAGTCAAGTGCCTATAAGACAACTTTTTCTTTCTCTGTGAGATTGCCTCTCTGATTATTAAGTAAATTCTCCCTCACTTGAACTATATTGAGTGTTCTTTTGCAACCCCAAATGCTTTGAATAAAACATTGCCACATTCAGTCTTCTCAGTCTACATTTTCCTCAGTCTCTCACCATATTCTTAAACTTCTGCCGAGAGCTGCTTTCTTGAAATGTTTCCTTGGACTTTTGTGGTACTGAATTATTTCAATTCTTTTCTTACCTATCAGTTCCATCTATACTTTCCTTTTGTAACCATTCTTTTTTTTTTTTTTTTTGAGACAGAGTCTCACATTGTCACCTGGGCTGGGGTACAATGGCATGATCTTGGCTCACTGCAACTTCCGCCTCCTGGGTTCAAGTGATTCTCCTGCCTCAGTCTCCTGAGTAGCTGGGACTACAGGCATGCACCACCATGGCCCAGCTAATTTTTGTATTTTTAGTAGAGATGGGGTTTCACCATGTTGGCCAGGATGGTGTCTCCATCTCTTGAACTCGTGATCCGCCCGCCTCAGCCTCCCAAAGTGTTGGAATTATAGGCGTGAGCCACCGCGCCTGGACTTTTCTTTTTTTAGAGACAGAGTCTTGCTCTGTTTCCCAGGCTGGAGTGCAGTGGCATGTTATTGGCTCACTGTTGCCTCTGCCTCCTGGGTTCAAGCCATTCTCCTGCCTCAGCCTCCTGGGTAGCTGGACCACAGGCGCGTGCCACCATGCCCAGCTAATTTTTGTATTTTTTTTTTGCAGAGGTGAGGTGTCACCATGTTGGCCAGGCTGGTCTCAAACTCCTGACCTCAAGTGATCCACTCCAGCTTTGGCCTTCCAAAATGCTGGGATTACAGGCATGAGCCATTGTGCCTGGCCTTTGCCTTCATTTTCTTTGTCCATGCTTTTTCTCTCATGACCCTTGTCTAATTCCCATGGCGTCGGCTGTCAAGGCTATGAATGTGACTAATATACTGCACACACATGCACATGCGCACACACACACACACGCACGCACACACACACACACACACACACCGATTTCCTTCAGTTTTAGCTTCTCTCCTAATTTCTGCTCTTTACTTATTGGCATCTGAAACTTAACAGCTCAAAACAGAATTCCTCATCTTTCCCTCCAGATGAGTTTGTAGATTTGGGATGATGTTTGAAGTACTTCTTCACTCTTAATCCTATGAATCTGAGTTCTTGTGACTTTATTTCCTGTTAATGGTGTAATTTTTCTCTTAGTAATCTAGCTAGACATATGAATGCCCTTTTAGGTATTTTAGTGTCAAGCTGGACTTTCAGGATATATTGTGATTAATATATATTATTAATAATATATATTAATTAATAATATATTAATAATTAATAATACACTTCAGGACATATTGTGATTAATAATGATTAATAGACCCTTTCTATTAAGAATAGGTTAATAATAGACCCTACTTGAACCTCACATTTCTAGATCTATTCTAGATCTGGCTGTGGGATGGGAGGCTGTTTTCATCTCATCTGTAATCCACTTTAGATATCTAGGATACAGGAAAAAAGTGCCTTCAGTGTTCCAGGAGTGAGTTAATCTCATTGACCTATTATAGTGTCCCCTGCACAGTTTTCCATGGCTGAGAGCAGCATGTGATGTCGGTGTTAAATAACTTACTTCACAATGTACAACACAGTAGTTAGTTGTACTGTAATAGGGTGCTTCTCTTACATGATACTTTCTTGAAATTCAACTCCTGAACTGATTCATTAGCATTTGCAACAGAACCGGAGAGTCTAAGAAGATCTACCGAAAGTAGGATTGGCTCTGAGACAAAAGTGGCCCCATAAGTTGTTGAAAAAGTAACCGATCTGACAGACTTGAGAACTTCCAGATTCTTACTTCAGCCAAGAAAGACAGCGGTCATTTTCTAGCTGGGATGGAGCAGCTGTCCGTCAGTGGATTTCTGTCGAATATATGTTATAGGCAGATAACCAAGTGTTAAGGCAAGATCAGAAAGATCTTGAGAATGCAGCCCCTGCCCTTGCACAAGAACCTTTCATACTGCTGAGAATTCAATACAAGTCCTAATCTAACCACATGAAAGTAGCTGTTTTCTGTAGATTCATATTGCTTGAAGTCTGATCCTAAATATGTTTAATTACAAAACCCAAAATATTTTTCTTAGCTGCAATTGAAAGCAGCCTATTAGCAATGAACTTTGTAAGGTAGTGAAAGTTGGATTATCTAGGGCTCCTTTTACTGAAAATCTTTACTGATGAGTACTGTTTATAAACCACAGTGACAATTTATGTTGATAATTTGTAAAAGATTCTGAACTTTCTTCATCGTTAAAAATATAAACTTATTTTTAGTATGTGGTTGGGGGTTTTATTGTATGTACAATGTAAAACATTGGTAGTTCATATATTCATTTTTAAGTGGCAATAATAACCAGCCTCCTATCATGATCATTCTGAAGAAACAGTAGTTTGCCATATTGTGAATTCTGCATATTGGAGTCCTGGGGAGTTGTGCTTTGTTTCCTCAGTAAGCCACTTCAATTAACAGAAGATCTTTGAAATTCATTTCAGGTGTGTTTCCCTAAATTTTTATTTTTTTCAAATGAGAATGTACACAAGTTACTAACTTTTAGCAATTATAAAAAAGACTACTATTTATTGAGCACCTGCCCAATACCCACCACAGTGCAAAGTACTTTACATACATTCTCTTTAATTGTCCTCTTTTGAACTGGCAGGATCTTTAGTCCTAAGTAGTGTATTAGAAAGAAGATGAGCTTTGGAAGCAGACAGAGCTGGATTTGCCACTACCTAGATATGTGACCTTGTGCTTTTCTTCTCTCTGAAGAGGTTTATAATAAAGATTTATATATATTCATTTTATTCTCATGTGTATTACTATGAAGTGGGACAAAATTGGTAAGCATTCAGTGAGTGTTCACACCATCCATGATCATTTCCTGCTAATGGTTTATAATTGAAGGTGGTTTATAATCGAAGGTAAGTTTTAAAGTTTGGAGCCCACTCACAACTCATTTCTCAGCTTATTCTCAAATCTGATCCTCCAAACTACAGTAAAAATCTACTGGTGGGATTAGACCGCTGGAGTTTGCTGCAGCATATTGTATTTAAATAGGGTCCTTGCATATAGGGTTTTTTGGTTTATTTGCTTGCTAACTTTTGCCTTAACATCTGCTTTAGAGATCTGCTGGGACAGTGTTCTGAGGATGGGGGCAGTCATTACCCAGAGGTAGTTTAGGAAGTTACAGCAGCGACCACTGCTTTTTGGAAAATTACCCATTAATTTATTAAGGAATTAAAAAGAAATCAATTAGATTTTTCTTTATTATACTTGAAGAAACTCTCATGCCCTTAAATTATCTTACATTCTCGGCTGGGCACGGTGGCTCACACCTGTAATCCCAGCATTTTGGGAGGCCGAGGCGGGTGGATCACAAGGTCAGGAGTTCGAGATCAGCCTGGCCAATATGGTGAAACTCTGTCTCTACTAAAAATACAAAAATTGGCCAGGTGTGGTTGCACATGCCTGTAATCCCAGCTACTTGGGAGGCTGAGGAAGGAGAATCGCTTGAACCAAGGAGATGGAGTTTGCAGTGAGCTGAGATCGCGCCACTGTACTCCAGCCTGGGCGACAGAGTGAGACTTTGTCTCAAAAAAAAAAAAAATTATTTTACATTCTCTTCAATTCTTTCTTTTTGGGGGAGGGGTTATTTAAAGAGCAATGCATGTTAAGTATAGAACATTTGGAAACTACAGAACAGAGAGAGAGAGAGGAAGGAAGAAAAGAAAAGAAGAGGAAGAACAATGAAAAAGGAAAAGAAAATTAAAATCACCTACTATTCGAAGACTCTTGACTAACCAGAGCACAATTTATTTTCTGGATTTCCCTGATTTCATTAAGTATTATAGCCCATCATATAGATAGTTGTACTGTGATTTATTGAATCAACCTTCATTGCTTACTTAGGTTGTTTCTATTTTTCTTTTGATATAAATGAAACATTTTTGTATATAAATCTTTGAATAAATGTCTAATTTTTTTGGAAAGACTCCTAGAAAGAGAATTATTGGGTCAAAATGAGTCGACTTTTAAGAAAGCTCTGGAAACAAATTGTGCAAAGGCTTTCTGAAAAGAATGAAACAAGTTATGTTTCTGCTAGTAGCATATGAGAGTTATTTTTCTCCAGATGCTTTCTTTTTCAACAATAGATCATTCATTTGCCCCGTTTTTTGTTTGTTTGTTTTTGGTTTTTTTTGTTTTTGAGACGGAGTCTTGCTCTGTTGCCCAGGCTGGAGTGCAGTAGCGTAATCTCGGCTCACTGCAACCTCCGCCTCCTGGGTTCAAGCCATTCTTCTGCCTCAGCCTCCTGAGTAGCTGGGATTATAGGCATGTGCCACCAAGCCCAGCTAATTTTTGTGTTTTTAGTAAGAGACGGGGTTTCACTATGTTGTCCAGGCTGGTCTTGAACTCCTGACCTCAAGTGATCCACCATCTCAGCCTCCCAAATTGCTGGGATTACAGGCGTGAGCCATCACACCTGGCTGGTGCTGTTTAACTTATTTACATGTGTCATTTTCCTCAACAAGAAAATTATAAAGTGAAACTGCTAGTGTACACAATAGAGCAGAGCATCACAGCGCTACTAACCAACTTTTTAGGATTACGAAGAATAGATGAAGCACCTGAAGGCATTTTTAAGGTCTCTATTTCAAAAAGAAAGGAAGTAAAATATATGTATTCCATGAAATTATGAATCTGTTTGCCTAATGTTTTTTTCAAGAGCCTGGGAGAGAATGGGATTTAGTATTCAGTAAATATTGTACCATTTCTTATAACAATATACAAAATTTACATTTTGTGGTCTATTCTGTGGTGATAATGGTGGCATATTACATAGAGAAAATGATAATGTTAACATTTTATGGATTTGGGAAGACATTTGCTTACTCAACCTACATAAATTTTATAGGTTTATAAATCTGTGAAAATACGCTGTTTGATCAATTGTGCATTCTGTTAGTGAATTTACAACTGGTTGTCTTATATTGCAAAGCAGAGTCACACCTGACGGTGTTAACTGGAACAGAAGTGATCTAGGGAACCTGGAAGTTGGAACTAGACATGTCCTTGAGTGAGGGAGGCTGGAGATGGGTTGGGACCAAGGCATAACTATAGACACTGGGGGAAAGATTATTTCAGGAAGATACTTTATGGTATCCAGAGAGCTGACATAATGGTTTTATCAGAACAAAGGCCCAGGCACAGAAGGAAATGAGCAAGGGACCCAGTTACCACATCTAGAGGATCAGCTGGGACTTGATTTCAGGAAAACAAGACAGAAGCCTGTTGTTAGAACTTTGCCAAAGAGTCAGTTTTCAGAATTGAACTAATAGCAAGGTTGACTTGATATCTAGTGCTCTACATTGAGCTAAAGTTCCCTTCTCGTGAGGATGCTGTTGGTCCAAAGCCTGAGATAAGATTGAACATCCAGGAAAGCTTAAGTGGCTTCCACTGTGGGGAGACAAGGGATAGGGGTAGGAGGGTATTGGAACCAGACAGACCATGGTAGTATCACCCAAAGGTGACTATTAATGTTTTAGAAGTAAGAGGGATACATGATGACCCAGAGGAGCCAGTCCTAGATTCAGTGCTATTTAACACTTCCATTTAATGGATAGATTAGAGAACAAGCCATTAGTTACTCAAATGGCATCAAGTAAAAATAGTTACTTGCATATTAGTAAATAAGATTTCAGCATAATCTTAAAAAACTGGATAACTGATTAAAACCCAAGAGTAGCTTAACAAGGACAAAAGCACAACAGTACCTAAATAGAAAAAAAAAATGCTGCAAGTAAATTATTTTTCCTAAAATTATAGATCAAAAAATGGAAGACCTTTATTTTCTGGTTGACCTTTTCTGGAAAACTCATGAGGTATTGATGGAATTTTTAAACTGTGACATTAGTAACTTTACTCTTCCCAGTTTTAAAGTTTTCTGAAATTTACTTGATTTTCTAGAGTCCAGTTATGCTTAGAAAAAGAATAAAATATTATCAGACCTCTCTTGGTGCTACTTGATATATACTTTTCAGAAGAAGTATTGTATATATTTTTTGGGTACAAGTCAAGAAAAGTGGATGCCATGAAATTATGAAAAGTATAATCTGATTTTTCTAGTGTGCTGGATGGGAAAAGGTCACTAAGCACTACTATTCACTGCTTCTGCTGGTGTTTTAATAAAAACTTTTCTAAGAAATCGAGTGTTGAGGATATAAAATCAATTGAGTCCAAGAGGGACTTATTGAATATAGAATAAAGAAAAATACAGATTAAGGGACATTAGAATGAGTCATCTCACATAAAAAATGGGATATCAGTACAGCAGAACATTTTGTTAGAATGATTTTTATGTGTTGCATTAATAATTTACATTCAATTTCATTTAAAACTGGTTAGAATATTTGAAAAATATCTACTGAAGTTGGCAGCTTTCTTTTTAGATAAAGATAAAATGAAGAGGCAGGTGATAAAGGAGCATTTATAGCCTAAGATGTGGGTTTAGGGGAACTCTGACATTAAAGAAAATGTTAAAATGTTTGATATGTCTGCACTTTACAAGAGAGTTTCTGCTAGTGAGCTCTTTCTCTTGGAGATTATTCAACCCAAGGAACACTTGATCTTGCAGTGCAGCTCAGCCTGGGCCATTTATATGCCTACCCATGGTTATCTGGTTATCTGACCTCTTGGAACAAGAATCCTCTCCTTTCTAATTTTCCTACCACCAAGAATGGCTGAGCAAGTGTTTAACCCTGCCTCAATGACTCCTTTATGTACTCAAATGCCATCATTCTGATGGCTTAACTTTTTCTTCCACAAAAAGAAACAAAGCCCAATTCTTTAACTTTCATCACTATCATATTTAATGATCATGCATTCACAGAGTATTGTGTTATAAGTGAATGCCTGGTCATTTTGCCAGATGGTATCATTTAAGAAAAGAAGTATTTTGATTTTTCTAAGATCAGTTTGCATGAACAACTTGACATGTTCACAAATTAAAAAGAATGATTTCTTAATTTCCTCAAAATCGTTCAATAAAACAGATTCATTAAATAGTTCATAAGAAGAAAGTTTATTTCCTTAAAAACAACCTTTTAGGCCAGACACGGTGGCTCATGCCTGTAATCCCAGAACTTTGTAGGCTGATGGGGGAGGATAGCTTGAGCCCAGGAGTTCAAGGCTACAGTGAGCTATGATGGTACCACTGCACTCCAGCCTAGGGGACAGAGCAAGATCCTGTCTTTTAAAACAAACAGACAAAATGATTCCTAATGATATTAGTGTTTTAAATTCTATTTAACTTTTAATATCTATTTAAATTTTAATGTCCCCAATCCTAGACCTTTCATCAGGCCCTTTCACAAAGCAGTCTTTCTCCTGAGGCCCCAGCCAGCTCTTTTGGAACAAGAATTCTGTCCTTTCTAATTTTTCTACCACCAAGAGTGCTTGAGCAAGTGCTTAACCCTGCCTCAGTGACTCCTTTGTGTACTCAATAGCACTACATTGATCTGTTGATCATTTATCACTCCCGGGTTGGTGCCTGGCTTCCATTTCCCTGGTCCTAAACATTTACATCTGAAGAAGAAAAATCAGTTATAGAACTAATATTCTCTGTACGCAAGAAAACTTTTTTACATTGTTATACCAAGCAGTTTAGTCCCTTGTTGTTCCAGTTTCTTCACTCCAAAATAACATTTGCATCAACATTTGCTTATCAAACGATCTGTTTTTGGCTGGGCGTGGTGGCTCACGCCTGTAATCCCAGCACTTTGGGAGGACAAGGCAGGCAGATCACCTGAGGTCGGGAGTTCGAGACCAGCCTAACCAACAAGGAGAAACCCTGTCTCTACTAAAAATACAAAATTAGCTGGGCGTGGTGGTGCATGCTTGTAATTCCAGCTACTTGGGAGGCTGAGGCAGGAGGATTGCTTGAACCCAGGAGGCGGAGGTTGCGGTGAGCCAAGATGGTGCCATTGCACTCCACCCTGGGCAACAAGAGCAAAACTCGGTCTCAAAAAAAAAAAAAAATGTTTTTGAGCATGTCTGTGCCTGTGTATGTCTCCCCTATCCTGAAGATTTCTAGTTCCCCTTAAGTTATGCAGAGAAAGCTTAGAAAGGGCAGCTGCAGTTGCAAGGCATCAGATGAGTTTCTTAGTACTTAATCTAGAATACTTGAGTATTCTTTCTATTCATTCTCTTATTCCCAGTATGCACTCATCTGCATTTTCTAGGCACTCAGTGGGAGGGGTGATGGACAATCTTGATGGGGAGTGGGGACCAGAAGATGATCACCCTTCTTCTCCTGGCAGACACCGTGGCTGAAGACATTCTCCCATTAGATTATATTAACTGTTAGTCAATTAACTTAGACTTTATTTATTTTTAAATATTTATTTATTTATTTGCATTTTCACATAGACTCTTAAAACCATAATGGGTAATAGCAGAAAGTTGTCTTTCTGGGCTCTTTGATCTGCAGCTTGAGAGTGTTAGAAATAACCTAAAGTGTTCAGATTAGAGAAGGATGGAGACTTATTTGCTCATTTAACTTAGGAAAATGATTTAGGCTTGGAGCAAGAACTTCCTTTTCTATGAATTTCTGGATGTGGCATATCTTTATATTTTTAGAGAAGGGAGCAAACTCAGTCCTGAGTCTGATGACATCCTTATTTTCTGTTTCCTCCGTGTTGTGATCCTGTGCTCCCAAATCCCCCAAATCTTTCTGTAGCTTTTGCTTAGATCACATGAATAAATATAGTTTAAAAGTGTACTGTATATTCTCTAAGAATTGTCAAGCACTTAGTATCATTACTGTTTATTTGTATGTTTTGGTTATAATAATTCTGTTCATTTTAACCAAATATTTATACCAGCATGCTAAACATACATTGTATTTTGCTGTCAATAATTTTCTACCCAACTATTATTTTCTCTATAAAATACTTTTTAAACTCCTACTTTATTTTTTCTATTTTATTTCTATTAACACATTCATACTTGTGCAATACATTTTAGATGAGTTCAATTGTTAAACAAAGATGGCAGAATGATACCTAGTGCTATGGCTCATGCCTGAAATTCCAGCACTTTGGGAGGCTGAGGAAGGTGGATCTCTCGAGGTCTGGAGTTCGAGACCAGCCTGGCCAACATGGTGAAACCTCATCTCTACTAAAAATACAAAAATTAGCTGGGCATGGTGGTGCATGCCTGTAATCCCAGCTACTCGGGAGGCTGAGGCAGGAGGATCACTTGAACCTGGATGACAGAGGTTGCAGTGAGCTGAGATTGCACTACTGCTCTTCAGCCTGGGTGAGGGAGTGAGACGCTGTCTCAAAAAAAAAAAAAGAAAGCGGGGGAGGAGCCAAGATGGCCGAATAGGAACAGCTCCGGTCTACAGCTCCCAGCGTGAGCGATGTAGAAGACCAGTGATTTCTGCATTTCCATCTGAGGTACCGGGTTCATCTCACTAGGGAGTGCCAGACAGTGGGCGCAGGTCAGTGGGTGCACGCACCATGCACGAGCCAAAGCAGGGCAAGCCATTGCCTCACTCAGGAAGTGCAAGGGGTCAGGGAGTTCCCTTTCCTAGTCAAAGAAAGTGGTGACAGACAGCACCTGGAAAATCGGGTCACTCCCACTGGAATACTGCACTTTTCCGACAGGCTTAAAAAACGGCGCACCAGGAGATTATATCCTGCACCTGGCTCGGAGGGTCCTACCCCCACGGAGTCTCGCTGATTGCTAGCACAGCAGTCTGAGATCAAACTGCAAGGCGGCAGCGAGGCTGGGGGAGGGGCGCCTGCCATTGCCCAGGCTTGCTTAGGTAAACAAAGCAGCTGGGAAGCTTGAACTGGGTGGAGGCCACCACAGCTCAAGGAGGCCTGCCTGCCTCTGTAGGCTCCACCTGTGGGGGCAGGGCACAGACAAACAAAAAGACAGCAGTAACCTCTGCAGACTTAAATGTCCCTGTCTGACAGCTTTGAAGAGAGCAGTGGTTCTCCCAGCACGCAGCTGGAGATCTGAGAACGGGCAGACTGCCCCCTCAAGTGGGTCCCTGACCCCTGACCCCTGAGCAGCCTAACTGGGAGGCACCCCCCGGCAGGAGCAGACTGACACCTCACACGGCCGGGTACTCCAACAGACCTGCAGCCGAGGGTCCTGTCTGTTAGAAGGAAAACTAACAAACAGAAAGGACATCCACACCAAAAACCCATCTGTACATCACCATCATTAAAGACCAAAAGTAGATAAAACCACAAAGATGGGGAAAAAACAGAGCAGAAAAACTGGAAACTCTAAAAAGCGGAGCGCCTCTCCTCCTCCAAAGGAACGCAGTTCCTCACCAGCAACAGAACAAAGCTGGACGGAGAATGACTTTGACGAGCTGAGAGAAGAAGGCTTCAGACGATCAAATTACTCTGAGCTACGGGAGGACATTCAAACCAAAGGCAAAGAAGTTGAAAACTTTGAAAAAAATTTAGAAGAATGTATAACTAGAATAACCAATACAGAGAAGTGCTTAAAGGAGCTGATGGAGCTGAAAACCAAGGCTCGAGAACTACATGAAGAATGCAGAAGCCTCTGGAGCTGATGCGATCAACTGGAAGAAAGAGTATCAGTGATGGAAGATGAAATGAATGAAATGAAGCAAGAAGGGAAGTTTAGAGAAAAAAGAATAAAAAGAAATGAGCAAAGCCTCCAAGAAATATGGGACTATGTGAAAAGACCAAATCTACGTCTGATTGGTGTACCCAAAAGTGACGGGGAGAATGGAACCAAGTTGGAAAACACTCCTCAGGATATTATCCAGGAGAACTTCCCCAATCTAGCAAGGCAGGCCAACATTCAGATTCAGGAAATACAGAGAACGCCACAAAGATACTTCTTCAAAAGAGCAACACCAAGACACATAATTGTCAGATTCACCAAAGTTGAAATGAAGGAAAAAATGTGAAGGGCAGCCAGAGAGAAAGGTCGGGTTACCCTCAAAGGGAAGCCCATCAGACTAACAGCGGATCTCTCGGCAGAAACTCTACAAGCCAGAAGAGAGTGGGGGCCAATATTCAACATTCTTAAAGAAAAGAATTTTCAACCCAGAATTTCATATCCAGCCAAACTAAGCTTCATAAGTGAAGGAGAAATAAAATCCTTTACAGACAAGCAAATGCTGAGAGATTTTGTCACCATCAGGCCTGCCCTAAAAGAGCTCCTGAAGGAAGCACTAAACATGGAAAGGAACAACCAATACCAGCCACTGCAAAATCATGCCAAAATGTAAAGACCATCGAGACTAGGAAGAAACTGCATCAACTAATGAGCAAAATCACCAGCTAACATCATAATGACAGGATCAGATTCACACATAACAATATTAACTTTAAAATGTAAATGGCTAAATGCTCCAATTAAAAGACACAGACTGGCAAATTGGATAAAGAGTCAAGACCCATCAGTGTGCTGTATTCAGGAAACCCATCTCACGGGCAGAGACACACATAGGCTCAAAATAAAAGGAGGGAGGAAGATCTACCAAGCAAATGGAAAACAAAAAAAGGCAGGGGTTGCAATCCTAGTCTCTGATAAAACAGGCTTTAAGCCAAAAAAGATCAAAACAGACAAAGAAGGCCATTACTTAATGGTAAAGGGATCAATTCAACAAGAAGAGCTAACTATCCTAAATATATATGCACCCAATACAGGAGCACCCAGATTCATAAAGCAAGTCCTGAGTGACCTACAAAGAGACTTAGACTCCCACACATTAATAATGGGGGACTTTAACACCCCACTGTCAACATTAGACAGATCAACGAGACAGAAAGTCAACAAGGATACCCAGGAATTGAACTCAGCTCTGCACCAAGCAGACCTAATAGACATCTACAGAACTCTCCACCCCAAATCAACAGAATATACATTTTTTTCAGCACCACACCACACCTATTCCAAAATTGACCACATAGTTGGAAGTAAAGCTCTCCTCAGCAAATGTAAAAGAACAGAAATTACAACAAACTATCTCTCAGACCATAGTGCAATCAAACTAGAACTCAGGATTAAGAATCTCACTCAAAGCCGCTCAACTACATGGAAACTGAACAACCTGCTCCGGAATGACTACTGGGTACATAACGAAATGAAGGCAGAAATAAAGATGTTCTTTGAAACCAACAAGAGCAAAGACACAACATACCAGAATCTCTGGGACGCATTCAAAGCAGTGTGTAGAGGGAAATTTATAGCACTAAATGCCCACAAGAGAAAGCAGGAAAGATCCAAAATTGACACCCTAACATCACAATTAAAAGAACTAGAAAAGCAGGGGCAAACACATTCAAAAGCTAGCAGAAGGCAAGAAATAGCTAAAATCAGAGCAGAACTGAAGGAAATAGAGACACAAAAAACCCTTCAAAAAATTAATGAATCCAGGAGCTGGTTTTTTGAAAGGATCAACAAAATTGATAGACCGCTAGCAAGACTAATAAAGAAAAAAAGAAGAATCAAATAGATGCAATAAAAAATGATAAAGGAGATATCACCACTGCTCCCACAGAAATGCAAACTACCATCGGAGAATACTACAAACACCTCTACGCAAATAAACTAGAAAATCTAGAAGAAATGGATAAATTCCTCGACACATACACTCTCCCAAGACTAAACCAGGAAGAAGTTGAATCTCTGAATAGACCAATAACAGGAGCTGAAATTGTGTCAATAATCAATAGCTTACCAACGAAAAAGAGTCCAGGACCAGATGGATTCACAGCCAAATTCTATCAGAGGTACAAGGAGGAACTGGTACCATTCCTTCTGAAACTATTCCAATCAATAGAAAAAGAGGGAATCCTCCCTAACTCATTTTATGAGGCCAGCATCATCCTGATACCAAAGCCAGGCAGAGACACAACCAAAAAAGAGAATTTTAGACCAATATCCTTGATGAACATTGATGCAAAAATCCTCAATAAAATACTGGCAAACCGAATCCAGCAGCACATCAAAAAGCTTATCCACCATGATCAAGTGGGCTTCATCCCTGGGATGCAAGGCTGGTTCAATATATGCAAATCAATAAATGTAATCCAGCATATAAGCAGAACCAAAGCCAAAAACCACATGATTATCTCAACAGATGCAGAAAAGGCCTTTGACAAAATTCAACAACCCTTCATGCTAAAAACTCTCAATAAATTAGGTATTGATGGGACGTATTTCAAAATAATAAGAGCTATCTATGACAAACCCACAGCCAATATCATACTGAATGGGCAAAAACTGGAAGCATTCCCTTTGAAAACTGGCACAAGACAGGGATGCCCTCTCTCACCACTCCTATTCAACATAGTGTTGGAAGTTCTGGCCAGGGCAATTAGGCAGGAGAAGGAAATAAAGGGTATTCAATTAGGAAAAGAGGAAGTCAAATTGTCCCTGTTTGCAGACGACATGATTGTGTATCTAGAAAACCCCGTTGTCTCAGCCCAAAATCTCCTTCAGCTGATAAGCAACTTCAGCAAAGTCTCAGGATACAAAATCAATGTACAAAAATCACAAGCATTCTTATACACCAACAACAGACAAACAGAGAGCCAAATCATGAGTGAACTCCCATTCACAATTGCTTCAAAGAGAATAAAATACCTAGGAATCCAACTTACAAGGGATGTGAAGGACCTCTTCAAGGAGAACTACAAACCACTGCTCAAGGAAATAAAAGAGGATACAAACAAATGGAAGAACATTCCATGCTCATGGGTAGGAAGAATCAATATTGTGAAAATGGCCATACTGCCCAAGGTAATTTACAGATTCAATGCCATCCCCATCAAGCTATCAATGACTTTCTTCACAGAATTGGAAAAAACTACTTTAAAGTTCATATGGAACCAAAAAAGAGCCCGCATCGCCAAGTCAATCCTAAGCCAAAAGAACAAAGCTGGAGGCATCACACTACCTGACTTCAAACTATACTACAAGGCTACAGTAACCAAAACAGTATGGTACTGGTACCAAAACAGAGATATAGATCAATGGAACAGAACAGAGCCCTCAGAAATAACGCCGCATATCTACAACTATCTGATCTTTGACAAACCTGACAAAAACAAGCAATGGGGAAAGGATTCCCTATTTAATAAATGGTGCTGGGAAAACTGGCTAGCCATATGTAGAAAGCTGAAACTGGATCCCTTTCTTACACCTTATACAAAAATCAATTCAAGATGGATTAAAGACTTAAACATTAGACCTAAAACCATAAAAACCCTAGAAGAAAACCTAGGCATTACCATTCAGGACATAGGCATGGGCAAGGACTTCATGTCTAAAACACCAAAAGCAATGGCAACAAAAGCCAAAATTGACAAATGGGATCTAATTAAACTAAAGAGCTTCTGCACAGCAAAAGAAACTACCATCAGAGTGAACAGGCAACCTACAGAATGGGAGAAAATTTTTGCAAGCTACTCATCTGACAAAGGGCTAATATCCAGAATCTACAATGAACTCAAACAAATTTACAAGAAAAAAACAAACAACCCCATCAAAAAGTGGGCAAAGGACATGAACAGACACTTCTCAAAAGAAGACATTTATGCAGCCAAAAAACACATGAAAAAATGCTCACCATCACTGGCCATCAGAGAAATTCAAATCAAAACCACAGTGAGATACCATTTCACACCAGTTAGAATGGCAATCATTAAAAAGTCAGGAAAGAACAGGTGCTGGAGAGGCTGTGGAGAAATAGGAACACTTTTACACTGTTGGTGGGACTGTAAACTAGTTCAACCATTGTGGAAGTCAGTGTGGCGATTCCTCAGGGATCTAGAACTAGAAATACCATTTGACCCAGCCATCCCATTACTGGGTACATACCCAAAGGACTATAAATCATGCTGCTATAAAGACACATGCACACGTATGTTTATTGTGGCACTATTCACAATAGCAAAGACTTGGAACCAACCCAAATATCCAACAACGATAGACTGGATTAAGAAAATGTGGCACATATACACCATGGAATACTATGCAGCCATAAAAAAGGATGAGTTCATGTCCTTTGTAGGGACATGGATGAAATTGGAAATCATCAGTCTCACTAAACTATCGCAAAAACAAAAAACCAAACACTGCATATTCTCACTCATAGGTGGGAATTGAACAATGAGAACACATGGACACAGGAAGGGGAACATCACGCTCTGGGGACTGTTGTGGGGTGGGGGAAGGGGACAGGGATAGCATTGGGAGATATACCTAATGCTAGATGACGAGTTAGTGGGTGCAGTGCACCAGCATGGCACATGTATACGTATGTAACTAACCTGCGCGTTGTGCACATGTACCCTAAAACTTAAAGTATAATAATAATAATTTATATATATATATATATATATATATATATGGCAGAATGAAAGCTCCATGTGGGCAGGGATTTTTATCTGTTTTGTTAACTCCTATATCCTTGGCACTTTTAAGAGTGCCTGGTACATATTACACACTCAGTAAATATGTGTTTAATGAATGAAAATAATGGAAATATGTCTTTTTTTTCACCTTGGTTAATATTATCCTTAAAGTACTGATGTTTTTATTGGTGCTTTTCCATGTGATTTTCAATTAATATATGTGTAGCCTTTAATGCATGTACCCCAAGAAAATTAGTCTAATTTATAGTTATATTCATTTTATCCAAAAATAAACTACACAGTTTAGGCATCTTCCTGTTGTATCTGTCTGCCATGTTTTTGCATGACTTTAAAAATTGGAGTCCTCCAAGAAAGGCTTGTCATTATTGAGATTATTCATAAAAGCTATCCTAGGCTTTGAAACATTCCAAAGGAAAAGTTCAAAAAAATATTTTGAGCATCTGGAACTGTTTTGAGAAGTGGAATACTTTATAAGCCTCAAGGCAGTCATTCTTAACTTCATTAGGGCTACCAATCCTTTTGAGAATTTGATATCTGTTGAACATATGGCCCTGTCAAATGCACATACCAACATTTAAACACGCTACATTTATTTAAGGGATTTGTAGGCTTCTGGAAGCTCATTCATGAACTGTCTATGGGTCCTTGGACTCCAGGTAGGAAGCCTGGCTTTAAAGGCATACCTATCAAGCTCTAAATCCTTGAATATAGCTGCTGCATCTGCTTCATTCTTCACCACAGGAAAGTGCCTCATATTTAATAAACATTGCTTGAAACAATGTCTAGTAACAAAAAAGTCATATTGTTTTATAATCATATTTTGAACTTCTTACTGTATATATATTCATATAGATTAATAAAGTTTGTATTAAGTATCTGTCCCATCATGTTATGGGATAAAAGATCCCATTTACCTGAAGGAAAGGGAACTAACAGAGAGGGACTATTTTTGCCTGATAGAGGGCTGGGGCTATCTGAGTGACATCCCAGAGAAACTGGGGACAGAGAGAGGAGAAGCAGACCATGTCCAACTGGCATTCTATTTAAATCTAACATCCAGGTGTTCTCTGAGTTTATGAGTCGTTCCTGTTTTTGCCACTGTGTGACAGTTGCTTTTACAGTATGCATTATATTGTCTCTAGAAAATCAATACAAACTGGATTTATGCAAGGCACAGAATCACACAACATGCTTTAATAAAAGAATAAAGGAGAATTTTGGCATATTTTAATTATTCATTTTGTTCACTTTCATCATGGCAGAATATAAGATATGTTTTATTTTTAAATTTATGTTTACAGAGAATAGAAGTATTACACGTGACCAAATATTAACTATATCATGTCAAGTAGGACAAAAGTTCTCATGGGCTTTTCCGTTTATATTGATGTATTTTAATTGACTTAGTTCTGTTAATGTTTTTGGGATACCAGGTATAAATGCCCAGATGTGAAAGATAGAAATGCTTTATCCTTTCCATATTTCCTCTGGTGCATCTGAGGGCAGACAAAGTATCACAGGAGAAGTCTTTGGCTAAATTCAATCAATTAAATGGAAACCGTGATGCTATAACCCCATGTATACCAATGCATGGGAGAGTCGGGGGACATGCAGCAGCTTCGGGAGGGGATGTGCTTGAAGGCTTGGTACTAGGAATATTCATCTATGGGGAAAACCTTGAGTTACTAAACTTTCTCTGATACTGCTTTGGTTTTGCTTCTCTTCCCTCTATTACTGCTTTCTTCCTTTCTCAGACCTGCAGGTCTGCTAAGAAACTTAGCTCTAATGAACCCGCTCCTCAGTCTTCCCCTAGATTGTGATCACATTTTGTTCTTCTTTATCCCTGCACTAAGTCTGATCTGGCAATTGAATGAACTAATTCATTTCACAAATATTCGTGGTGCCCCTTCTATGTGCCAAACACTGTGCCGGGAATTCAGTGGAGAACAAGACAGACACAGGCCCTGCCAATGGAGCTTTCAGCCTCCAGTTAAATGCATGATAGAGAGGATGGGAGAGAAAGACAGTGGGGAACAATGGGTTACTTTTACTGTCCCTGACTGATACGTCTGCATATAAAAGAACAGTCAGATTGGTGAGATTTCATGGTAGCCGTGCCTGCTCTTTATTCTCCTGTCTTTCTTTCATTCATGAAATAAATCAAATTTTGGATTGAGGAGCTGACCAAAAAGCATTTGGGTATGTGGAAACTTTGAGATCAAAGGGAGAGGAAGCTGAAACCTTCAGAGGGTAGAGATTGATGGTATTTGATTTTGTTCATAGTGTAGTATTTATTAATAGTTCTGTAATATTTGGTGGTATAAGTTCTGGTACCCCCTCCTTCAGCAAATTTATATTAAAACTCACTGTACATCTGCATATCAGAAAGCCTAGTATCTTCTTGGGATTTTCTTCTCATCTTGATTTACCCAAGAACCCCTGAAGCTTATACTGTGAGAGGAAAATCTGGCTGCTTTCTTTCCTCATGGGAAAGCACTGATGTTTAAACAGTGTTACTGCGATTTCTTCTTTGCTTCCACATGGTTTCAGTATTGAGTGTTAGTTCTTTCCAGGCATACAGACATCCAGGTTCTCAAAGTCTAGGTCTTACCTATACCCCTTGGAGGGAGGCTTGGCCACCCCTCAGTGACATTTACCAAAGGCGCTCCACACTTTAGACTTCTCCTTCAGTTAATATTCCCATCATGAGTCATTACCTCTTAGGATCCAAGCATTGTGCCAGGTGGCTGGAAACAGAGGGGCAGACCGAAGTTAACCCTCCTCTGTGGATCTTGGGCTTCCTGTCTTGAGTCTGGTTCATCAGTCATAGTTCTTCTTGCCTCAAGGTTATTTTGTTTCTAGAGCTTCATTACCCTTTCTTACCACCTGACCTTGTCCAGTCCACACCCATAACTTTCCTTAATTTCAAATATCAGTGCTTCTTATACAAACTGATCTTCATCCCCTTCAGTGACCAACTTTGCATAGCTAAGTACTCTTGCTTGGTCACAGAAGGGTTTATTGCACTTAGTCCCAGGCCAGTGACTATCTGCTGGCTCTAGAATTGTCTAATTTAAAGGCCTGCTCAGGCGAGACCTAGGAGAATAGAGAAGGCTTGTTTCTATTATTAAAAAGAAAGAGGAAGAAAAAGAAAGGAGGGGAAGAAGGAAAGAAGGAGTGAAGAAAGAAAAAGAAAGAAAGAAAGAGGAAAAAAAAATCCAGTGGTGTTTACTGAGTGTAGTGTTTTCAAACTAGAGGAGGCAAGGGTAAGGGAACACTTTTTTTATTTTTATTTTTAATATGGGAGGCTATGACCACATTTCACTGCCACTGTTGCAGGTATTACAGCTTCAGCACCCCCCTCAACCTCACCTCCCATCCCCACTCTAACAACTCTCTTGTCTGATCTAGCAAAAGGACTGCTGTGGCCATTATGGTAAATAGTGGCAGGGAGAGGGTGATGGTTGGGCAAGAAAAAAGTGGGGGATAAATTCATAGTCACTACTAACTTATTCTTCTTTTTCCAGCCACATTTTGAGCCACCTTCAAATCCACCAGAAGAGGGGAGGCATGGAGGGAGAATGTTAGAAGGGGAAATGGAATGGAGAGAGGGGAGGGATTCCCTGTTCCACCTCTTTGTTCTTCATTGCCTAATATTTTTCAGTGACTTAATGCCAGCCATGGTAACCTCTTTATTTTCTTCAAAATGTTGTTTAAATTATTAAACTAAAACAAGAACGTTGTGTAGAATTTAGAAAATGTAGCAAAGTTCAAAGAAGAAAAAATTCTCTAGTAATCTGTCATCTAGAGAACACCACCATTAACATTTTGGCAGTTTTCTTATGGATATATGTTTATAAAACATGAATTTATTCTGTGTATTCAATATTTATAATGATTCTACCCCATCTAGATTATTAAATATCATGTATAAGCACATCTTAATGGTTGCATGATTTTATTACTTTATTGTACCACCATATTTAGTTGAACATTTAGGATGTTCACAGGATGCTGCCTTTATTTTACTACTTATATCACTCTGATGTGAACGTCTTAGTCCATAGATCTTTGAACATTGTCAGAAGGAGAAACACAATGAAGAGTTGTTACATTACTGTTGCTGGAGTATGAAACTGATGAGTCCTGATGGTGTTCTCTCTTCAGTTACTGGGACTAAAAAATTAAATGGCATCTCAAAGTTTTCCTACTTCATCCTAGGAATTGAAAGGGCTAAACATAAGCCAGGTAGATATATCTGATTTCTTGTTGGCGTGAAGTAGATCTAGGCTTCTTTTCTGATGTTAACAATCTCACTGTTAGAGCCTAGACTCCCCTCTCTACTCCTCCCAGTGGTCCATCCTTCTCCCCTGCTACAGTCAGATCCATGTTAAGGTTGCAGCCTCCTAGAGCATAATCAGATTACCTGAAGCCATTAGTTACCTTAACCATTTATTTACGGCCTCCCTATGCCCAGTTTTAGATGTGATGAGTTACATGCAGAGATCAAATCTGATTTATTGATATAGTGATACAATAATAGTACTATGGCTGGGCAGAGTGGCTCATGCCTATAATTCCAACACTTTTGGAGGCCATGGTGGGAAGATTGCTTGAGGCCAGGAGTTTAAGACCAGCCTGGGCAAGATAGTGAGAGCCTCATCTCTACAAAAAAAAAAAAAAAAAAAAAAAGGCGTGCTGTGGTGGCACGAGCCTGTAGTCCTAGCTATTCAAGAGGCCAAAGCAGGAGGATCGCTTGAGCTCAGTAGTTTGAGGCTGCAAGATCTTGTCTCTAAAAACAAAGAAAGAATGCTAACTCACCTTGAGTGCATGCCCTGTGTCAGGGCACTTTAGTAAGTGGTTTATGTAATTCACAATGTAATCTTCACAGCAATCTTATGAAGTGGTTACTATTATTACCCTCATTTTACATATAACCAGAAGCAGGGAGAAGTTATGTAACTGTCACCCCAGTGGGCAGTGGCAAAACCAGGAATTAAGCCTCAGCCATCTGTCTCCCAAGCCCTCACCTTTACCCATTATGCATATCATAAACATAAACATTTTTAGCTTTTAGTAACATTTATTTTTAAAAGATCTTGGGCTGCAATATTGGGGTTCATAATTCTTACCTGAATTTTCAAACCAATTCTTTTATATGTGTCTAATTTTAGGATTCTTTTAAAGATTTTTATCAAGCAAAAGGCAAACATTTTTATGAGGATTTATAAACTCATAGAAGGTGGGAGCTGGAGTGAGTGACCTTACAATCCCCTTGTCCTGTCACCCTCTTGCACAGACTTGGGTTATACTTTTTTAGACATTGGCCAGTTGAGGTTGATTTAGGTTTCTATAGAAGGACTTGATCTCTATTCCAGTCACTTGGTCTATGGCATTGAGTCATCTTTACTAGTTTGTTAGACTGATTTCCTAGGGCTATTATCTGGTAGATAGGGAAATCCTTCAGTTTCTATTTCTGCTCCACGAGAACACTCTTATCATCAAGGACATAGCCTGAGATGGAACATAACTGTCAGACACACACATTATTTGACAAAAATATAGCCTACAGGGTGCTGCAGACTGCCTGCAGAGTGCTGTGATTATAACTGTTACAAGGGGGACGTCATTCTGTCATTGCCTGGAACAGTTCTTTTTTTCTTTTCTTAATATAATTACTGACAGTACACTTTTTGTATATGCAGGCTCCATCTGGTCTAGTCTGATTAAAGTTGATGGCTATTTTTATGTCATCAGCAATCATAATTTTTTGTTTCATTTTTAGAACATCTCTTGCAGGGGTTTTGAATACTTTTTTTGACTTGTCTTTTTTAACTTGTCACCCAGTTCTTGCCAAGGTTAACAGCAAAGTTTACAAAGGTTAACAACCAGTCTCACCTGAGAATCACCGCCTAAGCAAAAGGTTATTTCACCATGCTAATTCTTTTGGATAGCTTTGTCTAGCTGCTTAGTTAATTAACCAATTAGAAGCTACTTCTGATATTATTTTTCAAGATACATGCTTGCTTGTCTGTAGGCCTTTTCTTTGAATTTATTTTCCTTTTTTAAAAAACATTAATTTGATGCTTCCTTCGTACAGACGCTTCCAGTGGGTCTTGTTAGCCCTTAGCTCTATGCCTGCCTCTTGAACACTGGGAATTATCCTGCATGCTACTGAGTTCCACAGCTGTCTGCCTTACCAACACTCAAAAGCATTTTAATATTCTCACCATGCCTCTGAAAATACTTTCTTCAGTCTCAATTGACCATCACATACCAAATCCACTTTTCTGTCTTAATTCTCTAATCTCTGTACAATTTGATACTGTAACTGCACTTGAAGTTTTCTCATTTGATTTCCATAATGAAAATTATCTACTATATACTCTGCTTTTTTGGTCTCCTTTATCGGCTCTTCTTTAATTTCCAGTTTCCTGCAAGTATTAAGTGAGCCACATAAGAGAGCTGCTTCCCTAGTTCAAAAACTTCGGTGTTGTATCTCCAGCCCTGCATTCTTTCTTCTCCTTTTCTCCTCATTGCATGCATCCACTCTCTTTTTAAAAATTTTATTTTATTATGGTAATAACACTGGACATGAAGTATACCCTCTTTAACAAATTTGTAAGTGTACAATACGTTATTGTTGACTCTAGGTATAGCGTTGTACAGCAGATGTCTAGGGCTGATTCATAGTTGTTTAACTGGAACTTTATGCCCGTTGATTAGTATTTCTCTATTTCCCCGTCCAGAACCAGACAACCACCCTTGTACTCTCTGTTCTGTGCATTTGACTGTTGTAGATACTTCATATAAGTGGAATCATGCTGTCTTTGTCCTGTGACTGGCTTGTTTCACCTGGCATAATGTCCTGAAGGTTCATCCATGCTGTCTCATATGGCAGGACTTCCTTCTTTATTAAGGCTGAATACTATATCATTGTGTGTATATATTCCACATTTTCTTTATCAATTTATCGTATCAATTTCTCTGTCTATGGACATTTAGCTTGTTTATATAGCTTGGCTGTTGAAACTGCAGTGAACATGGGGATGCAGATATCACTTTGAGATCCTGATTTCAGTTCTTTTGGATAAATATCCAGAAATTCAATAGCTAGGTCATATGGTATCTATTTTTAATTTTTTGAGAAACCTCCACACTGACACAGTGGCAGCACCATTTTTTATTCTCATCAGTAGTGTGTAAGGATTCCAGTTTCTCCACATCCTTTCCAACACTTTTTGTTGTTGTTGTTAATTGCCATTCTGACAAGTGTGAGGTGATATCTCATTGTGGTTTTGATTTTCATGTTCTTTCTTTTGGTGACTTTATTCTCAAGAATTGACTGATCAGCTCTAAATTGATGCAATTCGTATTTATATCTCTAGGTCCAGCATCACTCATGATATTTTCATCTCTCTTTAGGACCTCTTCATTCTGTTACTTTAATGGAAATCCAGATTCAATCTTCTCCCTGTGGCACAACCCATGTCAATAGTTAATCTCTGCAACCTCTCCTTTTTTACTGGCTTTACCATTTCCCCAGTTTCCTGAGTTTGAAACACTGAAGTTGCTCTCTGACCTCTCTCTCCTTACACTCAACAGGATAACAGCTACCAAATTTTATAGATTTTATCTCTAAAACGTCTTTGCACTCCTCTCTTTAAAAATTACTTTTTGTTGGTCAGGCATGGTGGCTCACGCCTATAATCCCAGCACTTTGGGATGCCGAGGCGGGCGGATCACGAGGTCAGAAGATCAAGACCACGGTGAAACCCTGTCTCTACTAAAAATACAAAAAATTAGCCGGGCGTGGTGGCAGGCACCTGTAGTCCAAGCTACTCTGGAGGCTGAGGCAGGAGAATCACTTGAACCCGGGAGGCGGAGGTTGCAGTGAGCCGAGATCACACCACTACACTCCAGCCTGGGTGACAGACTGAGACTCAAAAAAATGACTTTTTGTCATACCAGTTCAAACCTAGAGGGCCTTTTTTTTTTTTTTTTTTTTTGACAGGATCTCACTATTTTGCCCAGGCTGGAGTGGAGTGGCATGATCACAACTCACTGCAGCCTCAAACTCCTGGGGCTCAAGGAGTGATCCCTCTGCCTCAGCCTCCTGAGTAGCTGGCACCATAGGTGCACCACCACACCTGGCTCTAAATTGCTTTTTACTGTACTATTTCAGTAGCATTTTAAAATCCATCCTTTAAAATGTGGATTACTTCCTGTAAAGGATAATTCAGAGAGTATCTCTTCTCTGCTTGACAATCTAGTTATTTGTTATGCTCAAAATTAAGTATAATATCTTAGCCAGATATTTGAAGTCTGTCACCCTCCTGTGGTTCCCTCCCTGTATCTTACACTTCAGTCACACTCCTGCTTTTTGTTAGTCCTTGATCTGCATTGTGCTTTCCACTTCTACGCTTTTACTTATCATTTATATCTGGAGTAGCTTGTTCCCGTTCTTATAAACTTGTCTACCCTTCTGTGTTTCCTAATGTGGCCCTATTGATGCTCTTAAAATAATGTGATCTTTTCTTATCTGAGCCCATGGCATTTTCTCATTTTTCTTTGGTACTTTTCTTACTAAGCTTTGCATTATTTGTTGGTTTGTCTCTATCTGTCTTATCTATCTACCCACCCGTCTCTAGCCTAGAAGCTTCAAAAATGTAGAAAAATATTTTTCTTTCTGATTATTTTTCCCCAGAACATGCATATACTCAAACAGAGAGTCAATTAATATTTGGTGGATGAAGGAAAGTGTTTTGCTTGTTTTCCAGTGTTCAGTTTCCTTTACATTTTTTTAGTTAGTATCTGGTAGAGAGAGAATAAGATTTGGAGTCTGATAGATCTAGATTTAAATCCTAGATATCCCACTTGCTAGCTGTATGACCTTAGAGAAATCAAGTAATCTCTCTGAGCTTCTACTCTCTCATCTACAAAATGGGAGCAATTATACTTAGTTGCTTATTTTGAGATTTGAAGTATTATGTGAAAGACCTTTGCAAAGAAGAGCTCAGTAAGTTTTATTGGTTCTACCTTCTCTTTCTTCCTTCTGATTTTCTCTATTCTCATATATTAAATTTGTTATACAACTCCACTGTTAATCACATTTTGTTTTAATGCTATTTACCTTTTCGTTTCTATGTATCTCATCTTCTCAACTAAATATCAAGTTTCCTGAGGGAAGGAAAAGTTTTTATGTTCACAGCTGCAGTTAAGGTTAGGTTCTGCATAGAGAGTCACTCAATGAATATTCATTGAATAAATGCATTCCCCCATTTGCTCAGCTGACATTCTTTCCATTCCACTGACTCCATGTTGGTGACTTCTCCATTGCTACTTCTGTTTGGCAGCTTTCTAATTATTACCAGGTGTCCCAAATGTCCACTGTCAACCTCTAAAAGTGGACTTTCTTCCTGAACTCTACCATAAAAGTCCTAAAGCTTCTTTCTCCAAATTAAACCTCCATGTAAATTGCCCACCTTAGGGTGCCTTCTTGTCAGTAGAACCAGCAAAAAAGCACAATAAGGACTCCTTGGATTTAACTAGTGAGTCAGATATGTCTTACAAACTGTGGTTTCTCTTAACACTTGTGTGGTCTCTCTTTCTGTCTCTGCTTCTCTCTGTCTCTGTCTCTCTCTCTCTTTCTTGGTATTAGAAGGCAATACGCGTGCAGTGGGTTCTCTAAATAGAAAGGGATATAACATTAGAAATTGGAGCAGTAATTGAATTGTAATTATTTCTAGGTTTTTAAAAATTGAATTTAAGGATACATTAAGAAATAAACCATCCCTGGTGACTTAGTGAAAGAAAGGAGAATGTTATATGAAATTAACATATAGGTAAATGTAGCCCTTATTTGTGCTTTTGGTTTAATTATATGGAATAATGTAAATATTTATGTGCTTTTGTAAGGCAAAAGCATTACAATAGAGTGACACATTTGGTAAATTTGGATTTTATGTTAGCATGACTTAGCCTCATTAGGGCGTTCCGTTTGGCTTCTCAGGTCTGTTGATGGCTAAAATCACCTTTGCTTTGAGGTTTGGTTAAACATGTTATAGTTTGCTAACTTTACACTTGATTAAGTTATTTGAATCTCTTCATTGTAACTTCACACAACATAGGTAGTTTGCAAGAGAATGAAAGTTGGAACTCATGAAAATGCTGGTTAGTGTCTGGGGTGGTTGTCTTTGATCATTTTGTAGACTATTTGTTTCTTCTCACCACTGATGTTTTTAAGTCCCTTAGGAGGCCCAAGAAGAAGTACCCCTTTTCTCAGCCTATGTTTTAAATATAGAAAGAAATAAGACAGAAATAAAGCCTGTGGTTACCAAAATATCACCTTTATTCCTAAAAGACTGTATACTGGAGAATCTGCAGGCATGGGACTTCCCAATACTAAACTCCAAAATTAAATAGATTTCCCTAGTCCCTGACAATACTAGGTTGGACACACCTCTGCTGGAGGAGCAGAGCAGAATTTGGAGTGCTGCCAGGAGAGATTTGGTCTCTAGAGAAAAGATGTTGACTTATATATGCCAAATTTATTCTTTCAAAATGGTCTATCAGATATGTTGCTTCTCCCCTGGAAGTGGAGAGTGGGCCGTTCTTTATCTGGAAGGAAACACCTAGGACTAGGGAATAGACATTCCACATAATAGGGCCAATCCTCTTGTGTAATCTAGTTGGTAGAAAAAATGAGGTGGCCCATTATAGTGGATTTATCCCAACATATTTGTTAAAAGGAACAGTCAAGATTTCAAGTAATGCTTTGCATTTAATAGCTACCTAAAAATGATTTTTCATTTGTTAGATGTACAGACCAGGGTGGCATCTGGTCACACATTTTTCAGTTTCACAAATGTGACAATACTCCTATAACAGGTATCCCTGTTTTATCTTATGTGTTAATGATGAACCACAGTAGAATATAGTGTGTTACAATGAGTCAGTATTTTTCATCACAAACTCATCACGTTATTACTTCTTCCAGGCACTAATGGATAACTATTTCTAAGACTGTACAAGAGGCTAATTCAAATGATATTATATTTGGAAAGACTTTCCTACTAATCTCTCTGAAGTTGGAGGTTTGCATATTTGGTTAAGTAAAAATATATAAGATAATTTTCTGTCATAATTTCAAGTTAGTGTACAATAAAAATTATCAATTTCTTTTTACAGAGTCATGTAAAACCATTGAGTACAGACGATGCTGGAAATGGAAAGTATTGAGTAATATACTAATATTCTAACCACAGATTTTTCATGTCCTTATATGTAGAAAAATAAATGTCAGTAATAGTCAGCAGTGTTTAATTCATAGATTTATTTGTGAAGTTCAGGAAGGAAACACAATTTATACTATATAGATATTAAATATTGTTATGACCATCAAGTGTTAGAATAGTGGCTAAGTAAATTACTCTTTAATAAAACACAGAGCCTAGAACACAGCACTATATAAATGCCTGTTAAATAGGAACCAAATAAAATAATGAATTCTGTAGGAGTGGGATTTCAAACAAAAAATGGCACTGTGAATCTTAATGGGTTTTATATACTAATCTCTTTTCTGTAAATACAGTTTCTTGGCTCTCCAGAGTGTGGTGTGGCTCCTTGTCTATTCTTTCTATAACTGAGACAAGTTACAAATCTCAGTAGATTAAAACTTGGGAGGAATATTGCCTGAATTCTTAAAGATGAAAGAACCCTAAGCATTTAAATTATAGTGCTTTATTATTCATTGTTTGCGTAGACACTGGTCATATAAAATAACTCCTTTGTCTATTATTTTATTGTCAATATAGACATCAACATTCTGACTGAAAGGATATAAAATATGGTAAGAAAATATGATACATTATGTGAATTACAGTAGAGATAAAAAATGCCATTACTGACATTTACTACATAAAAGTTGCCCTTTGAAATTATTTAATTATTTCAAGTATTTCGTGCTGTGAAGGTTATTTTCACAAATGTTCTTTTGCTCTGTCTTAATAAAATGTCAAACATTTTAATAATGTAAAATACATATTTACCCTATGAATATTGTACTTTATTTCTAGTTTGTGATCTCACATCTCTCCTCATAAAAATTGCATTATCATATTACATTTTTAGCATGTTATTTCCATGCTTCAAGTTCTCAAGTGGCTCTTATTCATTTTCAGAATAATTATAGAGCACAAAGTTATTTATTGCTGTGTAACAAACACATCCAAAACTCAGTGGCTTAAAACAAGAATAAACATTTGTTTTCTCATAGTTTCTGTGCGTGAGGAGTTTGGGAGCAGGTTGGCTGGTTCTGGCTTGGGATCTCTCATGAGGTTGTTGTGACTATATCAGCCAGAGCTATAGTCATCCGAAGGCTTGACTGGAAAGTTACCTTCTAAGATGGATGGAAGATGTTCTCTCAAATGGATGGCAGGTTGGTGCTAGCTGTTTGCTGGATCCCTCAGTTCCTCAAGTGGAATTTTTCATAGGGCAACTTGATTGTCCTCGTGCCGTAATAGTTGATTTCCTCCAGAGACAGCAACTCGAGAGAGGGACCACGGTGGAAACTACGATAACTTTCACAACCTACCCTTGGAAGTTCCTCATGTCATTTCAACCATATTCTGTTGGTCACACAGGGAAGGCATAATTCAGTGTGTGTGGGGGTGTCTAGCCAGAGGTGAGACTCATTGAGGGCCATCTTGTAGGCTGGCTACCACACTTGCCAAAAAAAATTTTTTTTTTTTTGTTAAAAGTATTGAATTGGGTTAAATGGTCACATTTATTATATGTGCAACCCAATTTCACTGACTCTTTGTAACCTCCAATTTCTAATTTTATTTAAAATCTCAAACATTTATTTCTTATCTCTGAGTGTATCATATGGGCTTATAAAGTCGTCTGTCATATTCTGTTCTGTGCCCTCTATTGATGTTGACTTGCCGGAGGCTGGTGGAGGCTAGTGCTCCGCCACAGCTGCGGGCTTTAGGACTCCACCTCGTCAGTCATCCATGCCAATGGTATGGTTTCCCAGGGTTTCCACATTTATAAGCCCCCAGGCTGCTAAAATGAAGGTGAATTACGTGAAATCCTTCCTATTTAAAAACCTGTGCTTATTTCCACCCAGAAGTGGAAAAAATGTTACCTTTTCTACCTATGAATTATATATATTTATCCCCTAGTACAAGATAGTGTGCTTCTATATCTGGTGGGGCTTAGACCAGGATCCATGGGCTGAGCTTGACCCTCGTGTACCATCATGTGCTTCAGATGCAATGTTGTGTTGCCTATTTCATTTGACATTTAGTCGGAAAGTAGACTATTGAAATGATTGGAATTCTTTGCTTTCAGTTTAGCAAGCCAGTCTGGGTCCCAGCTTTAAGCTCAAACTAGCCACTTGCCATGTATGTGCAACACAGAACATATTAAACATACATATCCCCAGTGCCATTAGTAGCTGCATAAATAATGTTTGAGGTTAATCTGTATGCTAATTAAATATATGTTTAGAAAAATTCAGTATATATCTAAATTTTGGTCTTATATATCTTGAAGTTATTCGTTGCATACATCTGTCAAGGAACTTTTGTACTTTAATAGAATAATTCAATTCAAAATTGGCAGTGAAATTCTTACCTGAAATCAGTAGAAGCACCAGGGTGCTTTAGTCCTAAAACATTGGCTGGCATATCCTTTCCATTAATGGATAATTGATTTGTTCTCCCTTATATAAAGTGAAGTGCTATGCAACTGTAGATTCAACACTCTTCTCCTCTCTTCCAATCAGCTTACTGCTCCTCTTTGTAAAATCCAGTAGTTACATTGCTTAAAGTCTTCTGATAAACATTTTCATAAGCTAGGGAATATAGTCTGAGAAAAAAATAAATGTTTACATCGGAATTTCAGATTTAAATTCACATTAGTCATTCTTATAAATATCTACCCTTTTAAATTTGATTTTTTAAGTGAATTATAAAATCTTAGGGAAGAAGAGTTTATGAAATATTGGAATTAATTGTTACTTGAATGTTTGTGAAAGAACTCCTCTCTCAAACCATTTAGACATGGTGTTCTCTTTACCGAAAGGTGCTTGCACTACTGAACAGAATATTTTTTAGTAATAGAATAACTCAGGTTTCATACTTCTTTAATCATTTTGGCAAATAATATCTTTATCAAGGTATTTATCCATTTTTTATCTCTGCTATCTATGTTTGTAGTTTTTCATTTCTAATACTTTTATTACCTTATCTCTTTTTTCTTCATCAGTCTAGTAAGAGATTTGTTGGTTTTATAAAACTTTAATGTTTTTGGCTTCATTGATCCTCTATATTTTATTTTTGCCTTTGACTTAATTATTTTTTCGTATCTTTTAATATCAACTTTCTTTTGCTTTCTATGAGTTTATTACCTTGTGTTATTTTTCTTCTTAAGTTGGATATATAGCTTATAGATATTCAGCCTTTTATAATCTAAACAATTGAAGACTAAGTTTCCTATTTTCAACTATTTTTGTTGCATTCCAAAAGTTTGAAATGTAGTCTCTTGATAATGTTTCTTAATCTCCATTGGGATTTTTGTTTTATTCATGAATTATTTTGAAATGTGTTTTTAAATTCTGAAGTATGAGGTATAAAAATTATTTAACATTTTGTTACTAATTTCTAATTGATTACATTTGTTTGGAAATGTGGTCTGTGTGATATCTAATCTTTGAGCTTCACTGAGGTTTGTTTTGTCAATTTTAAAGCTTCCAATGCATGTTGGAAGAGAATATGTGTTCTCTAATTGTTGCATGCAGGGTTCAATATGAAGTCCATTAAATCAAGTTTTAATTGTAGTATTTAAATATACTATATCTTTGTTAATTTTTTTTGTTTTTGGTTTTTTTTTTGGTTTGCATGACTTATTAAATGAGAGAGGAATGCTAACATCTCACACTGATTATAGATTTTTAAATTCCTTCCTGTAGTTTATCTGATTTTGTTTTACATACAGTATTTTGAATCTATCTTATTTATATAATCTATCTCATTGATCAATTTTAAAATCATTCTATTTACCTGGAGAATTTATTATTTGTTATTATGTAATGATTCTCTTTATTCCTAACATTGTTTTTTAACTTAAAATCCATGTTGTCTGAAACTAATACATATTCTAGCTTTCTTTTTGTTAGTTTTATCTGGTATATAATTTTACAGCCTATTACTTCCAACACTTCTGCATTCTTAGTCATATCTCTTGCAAACACACATCTTTGGATTTGTTTTGCTCTCAGTTTTCTATCTTCTATCTAACAATTATTGTCTTTTAACTGGCAAGATCAATATATTGAATTTATATTAGGACTTGATTCTGCCAAGTTTTTTTGTGTTTTCTGTTAGCACAGCTTTTCCTTCTTTCTTTTTTCCCTTTTTTTTTGCACAGAGTGAATTTTGTTTATTCTTTTTCTCTTTCTATCCCTCCTTCACTCCTCTACTAGGTTTAGAAATTATGTATTAAATATCTACTATTTTAGTGGCTACCCTTGATACTTTACTATGTATATTTAAAAAGCTAGCTATTCTAAAGCTGATCAATATCTTAATCACCTGCTAAATAATAAAAGTTCTCTAGAACGTTTTAACTGTAATCAACCTCTTCTTACTTCCATGCGATTGCTGTTCAGGGTTCTAGTTCTTTTTTTGGTTCAACTCCACAAAGTAGATGTTAATATTTTTATTATTTTATATAAATAATGTTTGTCTAGATTTGATACATTACTTACTAGTTTATCACCATTTCTTTTTGCCTCAGATATGTCTTCTGAGATCACCTCTGGAATTAGGTTCATTCTCCTTGAAGTACTTTTAAATGAAGGTATATAGGAGGTATACTCTCTCAGTTTTTGCTTTTTGTTTTTTTCATTTTTAAAATCCTGTGACAAATGTCTTTTAGTGGAGTATTTAGTCCATTTGTACTTACATAACTATCAAATATTTGCATTTAAATATATCACTTTACCATGCTAGTTTTATTTATTTATTTATTTTTTATTATTATACTTTAAGTTTTAGGGTACATGTGCACAATGCGCAGGTTAGTTACATATGTATACATGTGCCATGCTGGTGCGCTGCACCCACTAACTCGTCATCTAGCATTAGGTATATCTCCCAATGCTATCCCTCCCCCCTCCCCCCACCCCACAACAGTCCCCAGAATGTGATGTTCCCCTTCCTGTGTCCATGTGTTCTCATTGTTCAATTCCCACCTATGAGTGAGAATATGCGGTGTTTGGTTTTTTGTTCTTGCGATAGTTTACTGAGAATAATGATTTCCAATTTCATCCATGTCCCTATAAAGGACATGAACTCATCATTTTTTATGGCTGCATAGTATTCCATGGTGTATATGTGCCACATTTTCTTAATCCAGTCTATCATTGTTGGACATTTGGGTTGGTTCCAAGTCTTTGCTATTGTGAATAGTGCCACAATAAACATATGTGTGCATGTGTCTTTATAGCAGCATGATTTATAGTCCTTTGGGTATATACCCAGTAATGGGATGGCTGGGTCAAATGGTATTTCTAGTTCTAGATCCCTGAGGAATGGCCACACTGATTTCCACAATGGTTGAACTAGTTTACAGTCCCACCAACAGTGTAAACCATGCTAGTTTTTTATTTACCTTCTGTCTTTAGTTCTTTACTCCTTTTTGCTTTGCTTTGGATAAATAAAATATTTTTAATATTTTATTATTACTACTATACTACCTTATTAATTACACATACTTTTATTCATTTAGTGATTACCCTAAAGAGTAAAACACACATAATTGACATTAAAGCCTACCTTTAATTAATATTGCCAACAATTTCCAAGAACCTTATAGCACTTAACTTTATTGACCCCTTCTGCCTTGTAGCTTATTTTTGTCATAAACTGAAATTCCACATCTTTAACAGCATTATTGAGGTATAATTGACATATAACAAACTTCATATACTTAAGTATACAGTTTTGTAAGTTTTTGACATATGTATATAACTGTAAAACCACCATGACAGTCAGGATAACCATGTCTGTGTGAGCTTTTGTAACCTGCTTCTCTTATCCTTCCATACATTCACACAATCACTGTTTATTTGCATTTTCTAGAAATTTATATAAATGGAATAATATATTATGTGCATATTTAACAGCTATTAAATCTATCCATTGGTTATTTCTTTGGTAAAATTCATAATCTTTTTATATATTTCTTTGAACATGCTAATTGCAGTTTTCTGACTTCTACGTTATAATGCCAATCTTTGCACCATCACTGAGTCTGCTTATGTTATCAATTTTTTCCCCTGCTTTTCAGTAATTTTTTTATGTCTTGTTTCTTTATGTGCCTAATTTAAAAAATTGAATATTAGAGATAATATCTAAAGAATTGTAGAGGTTCATGATGATACAATCTTCCCTAGAGAAAATTTTATTTTCTTCTGGTCTGTAGATACTGGGTTCAGGCTTTCTTTGGTTTGATCTGTTTCTGATTTGTCCTTACTCCTATGATATTGCCTTTCATATATCACATCCTAAAGCCTGAACTCTGCCCATAATTCTTCTACTTTGATGTTCCCTGAATTCTAATTTTTGTTTACTCAGCATCATGAGACTAAAATTTATGCTTAGTTTTTTTTGCTTATCAGCAGTTCTATGCTTGATCTTACCTCACCTACATAGTTTAGTAGGTGTCAGCAAATGATCTATGGGAAATTGTGTTAGAATTTCGGGTCATTTCCTGAGTTTCCTTATTTTTTCTGGTATTTTGTTCCCTCATGTCCTGATTGCATTTGTGGACATGAATTTCAATTTTTATCTCTGGCCCAGTGACACTGCCTCAAGCTCTAAGCCACAGTTTTCCATATGGTCCCTATGACACTGAAAATCAGCAAATCTCCCAAGGGGAAAAAGATGCAATAAATTTGGCTCATCTAAGTGCATTTTCTTTCCTTAGTGATCTTGGCCTTTCAAGTCTTGCCTGCCTTGCTTGCTTTTTGATGCCTTCAAACAGTGGCCTTCATTATGATAAATACACTTGCTAGGTACACAGCTATAGATTGATAGTTATTTCCTCTTAGCAGTTTGAGGCACTGTCTTATGACATCCGTTGTTGCTGTTGGGAAGAAATCAGTATAATTATTGTTCCTTTCAAATAATCTGCCTTTATTATTGTCTGATTTTAAGATCTTTTTTGTCTTTTAAGATAAATAAGCCCTGCAGTTACTACAGCTTACTTCCTGGAGAGTTTTTTGGCCTCATTGCAGGAAGGAGGAAATCAGGCAGAGGCCAGGGTCTTCCTGAATGGAAGAGATAGAGCTGGGTGTGTGGGGAGGCCAAAACAGCTATTTCATATGTCAGAGTACCAGAGTGAAAAAGAGAGCACAGAGGAATAACCCTAGAAATCTGAAGATGCCTCTTGACTCTTCACTGAGTAATGATCACCACAGGGATGTGAGAACCCACCCCAAGCTGGGGAAAGTATCACTCAAAAGGAACACAGGAAAAATTCTTAGAGCTCACACAGGACTAAGAATAGTTTGTGTCCCTACAAGGCAAAAACACAAAACCTTGTCATTTATTTGCCATCAGGTAGAGTAGTCAGAATGGTGGAAGTGGGGCAAAATTAACCTGAGGGCTTCTGCTGCCTAATAAAGTTTAATAGAAATATTCAGTAGCATCAAACTATTTCCAAGTAATTTAAATGCATCCAAGAACAAAACTCAAGAGTACTTATAGGCATACAAAAATATCCTGCACCCAATAAAGTGAAAATTCACAATGTCTGGCATCCAATCAAAAATTACTAGACACACAAAGATGCAGTAAAATATGACCCATAATCCAGAAGAAAAATAAGTCAAAAGAAGAGCCCGGGAATGATACTGTTGATATAGTTAGTAACAATGATATCAAAAATTATAACTATGTTCCATATGTTTCAGAGGGTAGAGAAATGCCCGTGTGTAAATTGAGACACAACAGATTTCAAATATTTTACATTTGGTAATTTCAATATTTAAAGTTCTTGTATTGTCTAAAGTTTTATTTGCTATTTCTATCAACTCTCACTCATGGTAGCACTTCTTTTTGAGTTTAGTGAATTTTTACTTTGAACTCATATTTTAATAATATAATCTATCTGAATTCTGAGGATTTAAATAAAGCTTGTTTTTCTCTAGAGAGTATTCACATTTGCCAAATTTGGAATCCAAGAGATACAATAGTTTAAGGACAACTTTACATTCTTTGAAGGGTCCTGATTTATTCTGGGAGACCCAGGCTTGGCATCTCCACCTTGCAGTGTCCTTGAGCTTACACTTTTATTTTCTCAGTGTTTTTATGGGCGTTTGGTCTGAAAGTAAGTCTAGATTTTAAGTTTGCTTACTGGTACTCTTTAAATTTTAGCTGACTCTTCTTGCCTCTAGCCCTTTTGATGTGCATGAAAATCTATGTTTGTTGTGTTTCCCGTATTTACCATCATATTTACAGTACACAGCACTGGCCAGGCTCATAGTTAGAATTAAGAATTTGCCATATGAGTTACTATCATTAATACAAAAGCCTATGGTGTTTAAAATTATATTGTTTATTTCTAGATTTTTTAAATCTTAGGAGTCTAGATAAAATAGAGAAAATGACTACCTCATATAATAATTTATATAAAATAACTTATATTTTTAATAAAAATTCTTTGGTAGTCAGATTTACTTTGCTTTGATTTCATTAAATAAGTTTTTTTTTTTTTTTTTCAGAACTGGATACTTTTTGTTTGAACACCTTTCAAATACCCTTTTTGATGGTGATCACCAAAGTGATTCCTGCATCCTGTTCTTTTGATTCTACTTTAACTTGGGCTTGGATAGTTATTGGAGAATTGTCTGAAAGATCTTTACGCTTGGCTTAAAAGAAATAATGATTGATAGATTTGTCCTAACTCACCTTAAAGTACATCAAAAGAGTCCTGGACTCTGCCTTCAAACTGTTGTGTGACTATTGGTGGGTTATTTGAGCTACTTACACCTCAGCTTTCTCATTTATTAATCAAAGGAGTTGAAATACATTATTCTTGGATATTACTAAGGGATTAAAAAGCATAGCAACTTAAAATTAACACCTGTCTATGATACTCCTAATCTGTCATTTAAACTTGTATCTTATGAATTATTAATATATTTTAGTAAATCTATAAATGGAATGGGTAGAGACAATAGCACATTTGCAGGTACAAGACACCAGTCTGAAAGACTTAGAGGACTTGTGGAAAGTCGTGAATGAAAATCAAATTCAGGATAAAAGGGAGAGTCAGAGAGATCTGAATGCATAGGTACAAATAATAGCAATACTGTAAATGTGGATGACATGGCAGAATCTTGGCCTTGGCATCCACCCCTTGTGATTGATCAAGATTGCTTAAGACCATGGAAATCAGCCTTCAGGGGACTATTCTTGACAATTTAACTTTTCCTTCTTAATTGCATTAATATAATGCCTGAAGTTAAAGGAAAACCTATTTAAAATCGTTAAGTATTCTTGTTTTTTAATATTGGTATCAGTATAATGATGAAGATGTAAGAATTTAATAATGGTAGTAATATTAACTTTTTTTTTTTTTTTCGAGACGGAGTCTTACTGTCGCCCAGGTTGGAGTGCAGTGGCACGATCTCGGCTCACTGCAGGCTCCGCCCCCCAGGGTTCACGCCATTCTCCTGCCTCAGCCTCCCGAGTAGCTGGGACTACAGGCGCCAGCCACCTCGCCCGGCTAATTTTTTTGTATTTTTAGTAGAGACAGGGTTTCACCGTGTTTGCCAGGATGGTCTCGATCTCCTGACCTCGTGATCTGCCCGCCTCGGCCTTCCAAAGTGCTGGGATTACAGGCGTGAGCCACTGTGCCAGCCCAGTAATACTAATTTTTAACAATTGGGAACTATACTTTCTATCTCATTGCCCATTTCAAAATACAGAATTTCCTTTTTTTATTGAGATGGAGTCTCACTCTGTCGCCAGGCTGGGATTCAGTGATGTGATCTCGGCTCACTGCAACCTCTGCCTCCGGGTTCAAGCTATTCTTCTGCCTCAGCCTCCCGAGTAGCTGGGAGTACAGGCGCGTGCCACCACACCCAGCTAATTTTTGTATTTTTAGTAGAGACGGGGTTTCACTGTGTTGGCCAGGATGGTCTCAAACTCTTGACCTTGTGATCCGCCGGCTTCAGCCTCACAAAGTGCTGGGATTGCAGGCGTGAGCCACCACTCCCGGCCCAGAATTTCAATAGTGACAATCTCTAATGGTTCAGGAAATATTTTGTTTACTTTTACTTGAATTATAAAAATGGATTCAAAGAATTTTGATTATTAAATGTTGAAATAATGTTTCTAATATAATTATTTTAAACCTATTATAGCTAGTTATGTCATATTAAGTTAAGTGATATCAAATTGCTGATGTTTGGTGGGTTTTGACCTTAAAAATGCTATTTGATATAATTTCACTTAGTAGTAAAATATAGGCCAAATTGATTCCGTCAAAATTAGAGAACATAATATATGTATGCATAAATTAAGTGTGCTGATAAATTTTACCTTGGGCTACAAGGTAATATGTAGTATTAATATAGCATTCTTTTTATTTGATGGCTAACTTTTCCTTAAAAGGAAAACTAATAGATTCTAATAAATGAATACCTTTATTTCCTCTTGGAGTCATGTTTTTTCATGTTGAGCAATAAGCAATTTGATTTAGTTAAACTTGAGGATAGTTTAATGGAAAGAGCCAAATAGTAATAGTAAAATATAATATTCAGACTCTCTCAAATGGAAGGTTTATTACTGTGTTACTGAGACTAATTTATGTCAACATGTGTTTATTTAGTAATTTTACTAAACATTTATTTTAATATGCACACTTTTGAAATTGACATTAACTTTAGTTAAATTGACATTAAACTTTAGATCTGAACACACTATTATTCATGCTGTTTCTAACCATGCTTTTATTTTCCTTTTTTTTATAGAACCTCTTTTGAATTTCACATTGTAATCTTTGTTAGTATTATATGAGATTGTATCTCAATATTCAGTGTTTGATATTCTGTCAAATTCAGTGAATAGCCGACATTTCTTGAGTATGCTCCTATTCCTAATAAGAGATGATAACCATCTGCTCAATGTTTTTAAATTCTCTTTGTACCCTGAAATAAGATTTGATCTGAATATTAATGTAATGGTACTCTTAGAGTACAAAAGTTTTATCATCTTACATTTATTATATAAAGCCGTGTTTGTCTAACTAGACCATCCTAACCGCCATAATGATACTCTGGTGTAGTTTGTTAGATAACTTTGTTGATGTCCCATTCATGGAATAATTCTCATATTTTAGTTATTTTTATTCTGTTACCGTTTTTTATTTTTTATTTTTTTGTTTGAGGCAAGGTCTCACTCTGTCACCCGGGCTGGAATGCAGTGGCATGATCATGGCTCACTGCAGCCTCAACCTCCTTGGGCTCAGTCGATTCTCCCACCTCAATCTCTGGAGTAGCTGGGACTACAGGTGCTCCACCATGCCTGGCTAATTTTTTGTATTAGAGACAGAGTTTTGCCAGGTTGCCCAGGCTTCTGTTACCAGTTTTTAGTTAGTGAATTTAAACAAAAATAGTCATATCATGTTTTTATAAACTATAAATTTACACAAGCTTGTGATGAATTCTTAATATACTTATTTTAGTCTGACCGGAAGTGAATTTCAATTAATTTTCAACTGCTGTAATCAAATTTCATTTTATCTTTTATTCTCTTCTTCCAGCCATAAGAAATAGGGATTACATTTCTTGTCAAGTATTCTAATATTTAAAATGTTAAATATTAAGTTGGCCTTTAAAGAATGTTATCAGTTTGTTACTTCGGGTTCATTTTATATATTAGAGAAGCATACATTGAGAGATAAAATATAAGGAGGAATATTTTTTCTTTTAGTGGGTAAGGATAATATATATAGCAGATTTTGAGCTAATCTCTCACTGACAAAGCAAATCATAAATCTCGGAATTGGTCTGGATCTTAAAAGTCATGTAATCCAGCCCTTTAAACTATGCTTGGCAATGGCCATTTCTCCTTGTCTGCACTGAAAGGAACTTACTACCTCCTGAGAGAGTCCATCCCATAAGCTCTTTCTATAATCCCAGATATAAAATATTAACAAAGAAGACAACTTCCCAGAGGAGATCATTTCTGACCTGCATTCTAGGCTTTATAGGAAGTAGAGCAGTTAGTTGAGTTATGGAGAAGGAAGGAAGGTTATCCCAGGCAGAGGGTTCAGCATGAGCATAGAAAATGCAACTGCTTAGTGTTCATGGAAACAGAGTGAAAGGATGGGAGTGGTGAGGGAGGAGAGGGAAGTATGGGTCAAATTAATTCATGCCTTGTATACCATGTTAGGGAGCTTGGATTTTATATTACGGGAGAATTGTGATTATTGAAAGTTTTTTTAAGTGAAGGGGTGACTTGATTTGACCACATAGGATTTTAGTCAGATCTATTGGCTCTGTGGTGGATGGATTTGAGATGGAAAAGGTTGAAGTAAGACAGGCCAGTTAAGAGGGCATCGCAATAGGTCTTATCAAAAGACAGTGAGAACCTAAATTATGAGAGAAGAGTTTGGATGTAAGGACATAAAATGATAGGACAATTGATTGAAATGGAAGGTGTGTAGGAGTAGATTTAGGGATGGGATAGGTCAAGTTGCAAATAGTGGCATATTGTATGTTGGGGCAGAGGGTAGGGATTTTGGCTTTGTTTTTGTCTACTGAGTTTGATTTCCTGGTAGGATATCTAAGACTATAGTGGGCAGCTGACTTCCAGTGTGAAGCTCAGGAGGAAAAATTTCTACTGGAGATATGGGATGTTGAAACCATGGGAGAGGATGAGATCATATAGTGATATGATGAAGACAAGGACTGAGGACAGACCATGGCACATCATTATTTATGGGGTAATTGGAAGAAGGGATGCCCAAAATGGTGACTGAGAAAAATCAGGAAAATAGAAAAAGAATGGCATATTTGGTGTTAGGGAACCCAAGGAAGTAGTATCAAAAGAGACGGAGAACAACTGTTAGGTCAGATGCAGCCAGGATGTCTTGCCAGTTAAAGACCAATATATTTATTCCGGATTTGGGAGTGGTGGAGGTCAATGCATTTGCCAGAACAACTTCAGTGGAATGTTTGCATGGCAAGTAAGATCTCGGTAAGTGGGTGTGATAAAGATTACTCTTTCTTGAAGTCTAGATGAGAAAACAAGGAGAATGGGTGGAAGTTCAAGGACATTGTTTTTAGGATCAACTTAAGAGGCCTCAGAGGTGGAGAAAAAAGAATGAGGAGAGAGGGAGAGATCAGATATACAAAGGAGTGAAAGGATGGCTGGACCAAGTCCCCCAAGAGAGGAGGGGGTGTGGTTTTAAAAAGGCACAGGTAGGGTCTTCTTTGGGAGGAGTGCTCCATCCTTTGAGGAATAAGGGAAGGAAGTTAGGATAGTCATGAAGGTAGATAAGTAGATGAATGTGAGCAGGTAGGAAGTTGAGGGAAAATAATGTTTGATGACAAGGATGTCTTCTTGAGGTTGAGACCAAAGTCATATTCTAAGAGTGAAAAGGGCTTAGTGGGAGCTTTGAGATGAAATTTGAAATAGATATTAAGGAGAACAGGAAAGAGAATTGACAAGGATAGGGAAAGGCATTGATGCATTAATGTGCAGTGCTGTGATAGCAACTAAACTCTGGATCATGATTGTGTAGTGGCTTCTCAACTGTGTTGTGCAACTTTTTTCCACAGTAGTCAAAATTGGAGAAAACGAACTGTAGCTGTACATCAGAGTTGGGTGTTTGCTGGGGATGTGTAAGACAAATATAGGGTATACAGAAATGTATGTGGTGTTGATGAAAAGGCTGATAAGGAAGCAGGAGCTTCTCGCCAAATAGGAGGGAACAGAATTTAGGAGGTGGCTTATAGATGGGGAGAAAGTTGGGGAGGAGAGCAGCTTAAAGAACTGAACGGCTCAGAGGGCAACTATAATAGGACCTAGATGTAGAAAGATAGGATTCCATACAGTGGAATATTATTTGTTCATTTATTTGTATAGCCTTTTTTTTTAAAATCCACTGGACAAATAACTTAAGACATACTGTGTGCCAGGTACTATGCCATGAGGACATAGTGGTAAAGAAGATCAATCTGGTCTCTACTGTGCTACAGTTTATAGACAGGTGTAGCACACATATAGTAGACAAAAAGTATACATATCTTTGGGTCTCAGTGTTATAGACCACAGGCTTTTAGGCTCCCGTGTAATAGAAATTTACATAAGGCCAAGTAGATTAGCCAGACAAGGCTTTATTTTGCGGCTTGTGCTCAAGCTCAAGGGAGACAGTGGAGGTAAAAGAATTCTCTGTCTGGCTCCCTGAAAAGAGCCCGTAGGGATTTTTTATTAGGCAATGTGCAGGAACTGACATCAGGGGGAGGGTGTGCAGGCTGGGCTGGGTAGAGCATGTGAGGGCTGGGGTATGCAGGACAGCATATCTAGTTGTGATGGTTTGAGGTAATGGGCCACCTAGTGGTCTGGCTGGGGGCAACAAGGCTATATTATATATTATTATATATTATATATTATATTATATATTTATTATATTTAATATATATATTAGCTAATCCTAAGGCTTAGTTAAATTGCTCTTCATAACTCTGGCTAGGGTAATTGCTTCAGGACCCAAATGAGCCCGAATAGAATGAATCTCATAATTTTCTCTAGAAGTGCTAGGGCAAAAGCGTTATCTTTTCATCCATGGACAACAATGAAGAAGCAGCCCTCAGGTTGTTATGGTCATCTTGGGACAACAAAGGGTGTGTGCATGTGTCTTGGGGGAGAAAGTAGTGGGAGCCTGCTAGGATAAGACGCCACACTGAGGAAATGGAGCTGGGAAATAGAGATTAATCAAGTCTTGATAATATTATCTGAGTGCTGGATCAGGCTTTGCTTGAAGTCATTCTATGCCTTTAGTTAAACTAGTTCTACAAAAATTTTGTTTAGAGAACAGACATGAGAAAAAAAGATGGAAAATGTGAGAAGGGCCGGGCATGGTGGCTCATGCCTGTAATCCCAGCACTTTGGAAGGCCAAGGTGGATGGATAGCTGAGGTCAGGAGTTCCAGACCAGCCTGGCCAGCATGGTGAAACCCCATTTCTACTAAAAAATACAAAAATTAGCCAGGCACGGTGGCGTGTGCCTGTAATCCCAGCTACTCGGGAGGCTGAGGCGGGAGAATCACTTGAGCCCAGGCGGTGGAGGTTGCAGTGAGCCGAGATTGCTCCATTGCACTCCAGTCAGGGTGACAGAGTGAGACTCCGTCTCAAAATAAAAAAAAAAATAAAAAATAAAAAAAGAAAAGAAAATGTGAGAAGGAAGCCAATAAAGAATCCTTATAATTTAATCTAGTTTAAATTTAGTTTTTGTTTTCGCTTTTGTTATTTGCAACAGGAATATTACTGGTATGTGGAATGCCTGCTATGCTGATTTTTTGACTATTATATCTTTTGACTCCAACAAACCAAATATACTCCTTTAAGTAGCTGCAGATTCTATTTGTTTCTTGTATATATGGGTGGGCCAAATCATATATAGGTTGGCCAAATCATATATAGGTTTTAGAGCAGAAGACTTAATGGACAGTAGTGTTAATTTCAGTTTGGAGTCCTCTTGAGGAATGAATCCCTTCATTTGTCCTTTTATATTTCCTAGTCAGGGTCTTATGTGTAATGCCATACTTTTTCCTCTAAATTAAATCTTACTCTGAGTTTTTGCTTACCAAGGTAAGCAGAGAGTACAATATTAATAATATTTCACATCACCTTTTCTATCACTAAGGTTTTATAGGAGTTCCAGGGCTACAGTTACTGAAAAGACTCCTTTAGCTTGTTTTTACTTCTGCATCCCTTCTCCTACTGCCACTTCAGTAATGGTCTTCTACCACTTTGGCACAATGACTCAGACTAAGGTGCCTGGGATCTACTCAGGTCATTGTGCACCTAATAGAGGTGGGTGGCTGCCCTAACTGGCACCATTCCCCTGGGACTAGCTTAGTTTGATAACTCAGACTTCCAAAGCCATGTGTATTAGTCTGTTCTCATTCTGCTAATAAAGATATACCTAAGACTGGGTAATTTATAAAGGAAAGAGATTTAATCGACTCTTAATTCCACATGGCTGGGAAGGCCTCACAATCATGGCAGAAGGCAAAGGAGGAGCAAAATCACATCTTGCATGGCAGCAGGCAAGAGAGAGCTTGTGTAGAGGAACTCCCATTAATAAAACCGTCAGCTCTCATGAGACTTATTCACTACCACAAGAACAGCACAGGAAAGATTCGCCTCCATGATTCAGTTACCTCTCACCAGGACCCTCCTACAACACTTGGGAATTATTACAATTCAAGGTGAGATTTGGGTATCAACATGACCCTTGATACCTTGGCCTTGACCAACATTCATGTAGTCATCCCCAAATGAGGCTCTGCCACCTTGGAGACCTAAATGCTTGTATTCTTTATGAACCCAGAAGCCCTCGGTCTATCTGATCCCTGCTTTAACAACCTTCCAGAGGTAGGGCTCCCCACATCTCCTACCTAGAAACACAAACACTTCTCCTTCTCCTCTGAGACTCTTTAGTGTATTTCTTTGCACAGGCTCCATGTGAAAATCACTCCTAAAGAAAAGGGACCTAGAACTCTCAATTTAAAAAGTCTAGCAGTGAGGTAGAAAGGAAATTCTTCTTTCCATTCTTTTGGTGAAGAGAACACAGCAGCAAAAAGGCCAAGAAACCAAGTAGTTTCTCCATAATTCTCCCTGTCACAGTTGTCTACCTCTATTTTCCACAACATATGTTTGCTCATTTTATATACACTTTTTTTTTTTGAGATGGAGTTTTGCTCTTGTTGTGCAAGCTGGAGTGCAATGGTGTGATCTTGGCTCACTGCAACCTCCAACTCCCGGGTTCAAGTGATTCTCCTGCCTCAGCCTCCCAAGTAGCTAGGATTACAGGCGTGCACCACCACGCCTGGCTAATATTTTTGTATTTTTAGTAGAAACCGGGTTTCACCATGTTAGCCAGGCTGGTCTCGAACTCCTGACCTCAGGTGATCCGCCTGCCTCGGCCTCCCAAAGTGCTGGGATTACAGGCATGAGCCACTGCACCTGGCCCATAATATATACTTTTAAATATGCTTTTATATCATTAATCTTGTTAGAATTTTATGACATCTTAGTGATCCTAAACCTACTGTATTTCCAGAAAAAATTCTGAAGTTCTAGGCCATTTCACCTGACTTTAGCCAACATTCATAATCATCAATCCCTGTGCCCTCCCACCCTCTCCTTCACATATACAGGTTTGTGTCCCACTTTAATGCTTTTGATTGTTCTAAGCTGTATTTTCTAATTTCTTTGACTGTATTGAAGGTAACAGTCTATATACTCCAAGATGGATCTTATTAATAACATAAATACACACTCAGATTTACAAATATTCATATATCTGTGATTAAAATAGTCATGTTTTTGGCCATGTCAGAAATGTATCCCTCTTAGTGATGTTTTCACTTCTGTTGGCCTGTAAGGATTGTTGTCACTTGGTTGTCTCCTGAAACTCCTCTAAAAGAAAGTCATAAAATTCTGAATTCTGGGACCTATAGACCTGTAGGAAAAGTGGCACATAATTTATTTTCCAAACCAGCATACCTAAGAAAGGAAGGGGTTACTATTAATAATTATGCCAGGACAACAATTATAAACCACTACTGTCCCAGGGAAACCACATATATAGTCACCCTAAAGGGCAGAGACAGTGTATTTCCATCTGACATCCTCAGGCAGTTCCAAGGTTCTTGGTCTGATTACATTGCATGGGAGAAGTCCTTCATGAGAACAGTAAGCTGAGGGCAGTCTATGTGTATATGTTTCTAACATTCGAGGGTTACTTACAGAGTTAACCTTTAAGTAGCTTATGGGAAATTTTTATAGTACAATTTGACTGAACACTTGGGTCATACTAGTTCTGGACTTAATATTTTGCAGCACTTTTATTGTTCTCTTCAAATGAATTTCAAGTCATGTTAACCTGCCATTTTGTTCTAATGACACTAATGGCTGAAATTAGTGGCAGACGATGAGCTTGGCAGTGACAGCATAAATGGTACTGCCACATCTCTCTTTTTGCTAACTTTGTATTATTTCCACCTGTGTACAGTTAGTCCACAATGTTTTATTTGCAAAGCACTGTTAAATCACCAGCATTATTATTTGACTCTTAACATACATTTGCTAGTGAATGTGTTTGACATATGCTTATGTTAAGAAAGAAATTTACATTTAAATCTTAAAGGAACTCTAATTGCCGGTCTTTGAAGTGCTTCATTATCAACTGCTGAATTAAATAAATAGGTCTTGGTCTAAAGCTGAAAGGACTTGCAGCAAAGGGGCCCCTGAACAAAGAGAGCCCATGAGTCCAAAGTAAGGTCACAATTCCATTAAATACTCAGATGATAATTGACTTCAAGCACTGTCCTGCATTGCTTACAGTTGAATCTCCAGCACCTAGAACTGTGTCTGGCATGTAATAGGCACACATTAAATATTTGTTCAATGAATGAATAAATATTCTTTATAGTGTAAAATATTTGTAGCATGTGGTTTTACTCTCAAGCATTCTGTGGTTAATATATTTTTTTAATATTCTTGTCAGTATGTTGTGTGGAGGCTTGAAAATCCCTGGTTTTTCATAATTATTGATTAAATTAATCAGCAGTTTCTATGATCTTATAATTTGTGGGGGCTAGTATCATTTGTTTTAGTAGAACGTTTTCCACTTTCTTCTTTTAGTTATACAGTCACATTCTCCCTGACTTTCAGTTTTAACCTTTGCTTCTCTTGGATAGGCCAAGAATCCATGGCATGATGTAACCAAATCTCCTCCCCGCTCTTTTTTTTTTACTCTTCATCTCAAGTTTTAGCTAGGATAATGTTTCTGTTAGCCTAGTTTCCAAATGAAATCTAAAGTACTGTTTTCATAAAGGTGAGATATAAGGAAAAGTTCAATAGTTAAATCTTAAAAGATTATTTCTTCCTATGCTCAGTGAGATATATGAGAGATACTGTTTGTCGCTAGAGAGATAATTTCCAGATAGAAATACATACATATATTTCATAACTGACATATCATTAAAAAAGGGAATATTTTCTAACGTAAGAAATTTTAGGATGGGCGTGGTGGCTCAGGCCTGTAATCCCAGCACTTTGGGAGGCCGAGGAGGGCAGATCACGAGGTCAGGAGATCGAGACCATCTTGGCCAACACGGTGAAACCCCGCCTCTACTAAAAATACAAAAAATTAGCCAGGCATGGTGGCGCATGCCTGTAATCCCAGTTACCTGGGAGGCTGAGGCAGGGGAATCACTTGAACCCGAGAGGCGGAAGTTGTGGTGAGCTGAGATCACGCCACTGCACTCCAGCCCAGCAACAGAGCAAGACTCTGTCTCAAAAAAAAAAAAAAAAAAAAAAAAAATTTATTGTAAGATTCAGGTCTACTCTACTCTATTTTAATTGTAGTTCCTATATGCACATCATCTCCATTATTATTCTTAGGAAAGGAGGTAAGTATAATAGACACGGTTTATCTTGGGAGAAGCCAGGGTGACCTATGCTCACTTCTTTCTTACTCCCAAGGTTTTTTACCTTCCTCATCTTTCAGGGTACTGGTGCCATCATTTCTCTTTACCATAAATCAAAACATTTCTCTGATCGAATTCTGATATTAGTAATTTTTACTTTAGTGTTCATCTTAATATATGTTTCTTCCTTAAAGTGTTTGCATCTTAACATTCTCTCTAACTTTAGCATTTGTCTTCATAAATGGAATTTTATCATCAGGGTGAAAATTATGTTTTGCCAGGAGCCACACCAAGCTTCATTAACACATACATTGTCACCTCTCATATGCACTTGTGTTTGTACTTGTACAGGGGCATGTTTGTTAAGAGTGAGGCTAAGCTGCATGTTTTATAACAGAGACTTAATTTTTTCTTTCAAGTTTTCATGTACCTTAAACAATTAGACCTTGTAAGTAAGGTTGGCCTTGGTTTTATCATCTGGCCAGTATTGGGAATGGATCTATAGAAGCAAAGGGAAACGATATAGGATTCATGCAACTTCTTTACTGTTCGCTATGAACCAAAAACATATTTGTAAAATAAAAAATAGCAGGTAAGTAGGGCTGTAATTCATCTTGTTTTCATGCTAGCATGATGAACTATCTCTGAACACTAGATTCTTGGATTAGTAGTATTTACTCTAGGATGAAATGTGATATGAGGATCGTCTTCGACTTTATTTATGATCACTTATTTACAAAACAGCAAAAAGAACATTATATTGTGGCTTCACTCATAAGGCAGTCTTATGGCAAAGACTTCAGAATATAGTGAGACATTAAAAGATTCATTAAAATAAAGCAAAGATCCATGAATTTTGAGTTACAGTGTACATTAATTTTTAATAATATTTGTATTTCAGGTCAGTTGCTCCGATTAAAAATGTTTCGAGAAGATCATGGGTCGTGGATGACAATGTTCTTCAGCACAATTCTCTTTCTCTTCATATTTTCTCACATATACAACACGATTCTTCTAATGGATGGGAACATGGGGTAGGTTTTCTTTCCCCTTTCTACTGTGGTGAGTGTTATGTTTGAAACTTGTAAGAATTTAAGAGTTTTTTAGCTTGTAGTAGTCTAAGTCTGCTTTACAAATATTCTACCCTAAGAAGAAGGAGTATTTTATGTATTTTTCTTACCTAAGACATTAACATTTTTTTTTTCCAGGAAGCATATAGTACATTACAATATTTAGATTTTGTTCTTTATCCTTTAGGACTTTTATATAGGGTGGTGGGAGGGCAGGTACTAATTTCATTATACTGACAAGGGGGTATGAGAATCAGGAAATCTTATTGATTTGCATATATTCAAATGATTCATAGAGTGGGGCTAAGATGAAGGTTTCCAGGTTTGCAATTTCATTGGTCTGCAATGCCTGGCTAAATAAAAGTGGTACAGGAGGCATTTTCTTTAACTCTCTTGACAGTCCTGAGAGAGAGAGACCTTTGTTATAAATAGGTTGTTTTAAAAGTGGGCCACAGCTGGGCATGGTGGCTCATGCTTGTAATCCCAGCACTTTGGGAGGCTGAGGCAGCGGATCACAAGGTCAGGAGATGGAGACCATCCTAGCCAACATGGTGAAACTCCATCTTTACTAAAAATATAAAAATTAGGTAGGCGTGGTGGTGTAGGCCTGTGGTCCCAGCTACTTGGGAGGCTGAGGCAGGAGAATTGCTTGAACCCAGGAAGCGGAGGTTGCAGTGAGCCAAGATCGTGCCACTGCACTCTAGCCTGGCAACAAAGCAAGACTCCGTCTCTAAATAAATAAATAAATAAATAAATAAATAAAGTGGGCCACCCTGTATTAACTCCTAGCTTGTGATATATACTTATCAAATCACTAAGACATGAAATATGTGCCAACAAGTAGTTGTATAATTTTTCTAACTTTCTTCACTTCTTTCTTTCATTATATAATGAAACACAAGGATTGGTCTTTCAGTATAATTTCCTCTTGGTTTGTTCTCAGTAAGTTTATTTGAGAAGGAATCTCGCTGTTGTCAGCCAGGGCTGGAGTGCAGTGACGCGATCTCGGCTCACTCACTGCAACCTCTGCCTCCCGGGTTCCAGCAATTCTCCTTCCTCAGCCTCCCTAGTAGCTGAGATTATAGGCGCCTGCCACCACACCTGGCTAATTTTTGTTATTTTTTAGTAGAGGTGGGATTTCACCATGTTGGTTCGTCTGGTCTCGAATTCCTGACCTCAGGTGATCCACCCGCTTTGGCCTCCCAAAGTGCTGGGATTACAGGCTTGAGCCACTGCATCTGGCCTGCTCTCAGTAAGTTTTAAGGCCGGAATGTAAGGAGATTGGCTTAGTATTAAAATTAGATTTGTGACAATAATAAACCACTTTAGGTATTTGTTGTGTGTTGAAATAGTTACTGAGAAAGATTTTGATCTATTTTCCCCAATAGATCAGAAAGTTAGGTAATATCCTTTTCTTCTAAATGTAGGCTAGGCAGGATTATTGTCCAGTTCCATGGGAAACATGGAACTGTTTTGATGTTACGTATAGATTTTGGCTACCATTGTTCAGTACTGAGAGGGAAGCTCATTTAGAATTTCATTGTTTTTCCCTCACCACTAAAGGAGATGAATAGCAAAGGGAAAAATACATTTCACATGTTTTATATTTTAGTTTATACTAACAAGTGATAAATTCACGAATGTGATTTTAGATAAAATGTTCAGGCTTTAGAAAGTTATTAAAATACTTTGTAATTATTTCTTGGACTTAGAATGATAGTTTTAATACCAGGTCTGTTTTGAAGGCTGTAACCTATGGCTAGTCAGAATATGTCTCAGCCTTGGAGCAGTGCCTGTAATACTAGAATGGGTAATGATTGGAGTTAGCTAACACAGCCAAAGGTTTCTCTGTGAGTTGTTTTTGAACTCAAAGCACTGAGAGCAGAAGGAGAAGGAACCTCTGTGAAAACTACATTTTAAAAGCAATTGCTGGAAATAATACATGATATAATATATAAAATATATCTTCTGCTCAGAAGCTGACTTTTGATATAATTCTGTTTTTTTTTTTTTTTTGTTTGTTTTTTTATCTAGAGCTAATGAGGTCTGTGCTAACTGGAAATGCTTATTCTGAGGAAGGGAGCAGATTTGAAAGCAATAAATTAAATGCAATAAGTAATTCCTTGTACTCTGTAAAGCACTCAATAGCTGGAAATAAAATGAGAGTTAATAGTTGTTGAACATTTACACCAGGCATGAATTATCTCAATTAAATCTCGCAGTGACTCCATGGAATAGGAGTTATTACCTCCATTTTGCAGATCAAGAAACTGAGGACTAGAGACATTTTGCCACTTTGTTGTTTAAAGGAGAACACAGGTCCGATTGATGGTTGACCCTGTTACTCATTCACCATATCCTATTAGCCTTTCTCTGTGTTTTATTATTCAAGCTGAATTTGACAATGAAAGAAGCAGGAGATATGCTTAGGAAATAAGAGAATAGTTAGCCTAGAATTTATGTGTAGCCTAACTAAAATTGAAAGTGGTCTTTTTTATTCTCAGACTAAATACAATCTTGCAGATTTTTAGGTAACTGTTGAACTCTTCACCATTATGCCTCATCTTCATAGGAAAAGCATCGTTTACTGAGAGGATATATTAAAGGTGCCACATTTTAGAAAAATTCAAAGCAAGGGACAAATGGTTTAGTTCTGCAGAAAAAATAAATCAAGGCTGAGCATGGTGACTTATGCCTATAATCCCAGTGCTTTGGGAGGCTGAGGCAGCAGGATCACTTAAGGCCAGAAGTTTGAGACCAGTCTGGGCAACAGAGTGAGACTTTGTCTCTTACAAAAAATAAAAAAACTTAGCTGGGGGTGATGGCACGCCTTGTAGTCCTAGCTACTTGGAAAGCTGAGGCAGGAGGATTGCTTGAGCTTGGGAGTTCAAGGTTACAGTGAGTTATGATTGTGTTACTGCACTCCAGCCTGGGTGAAACAACAAGACTCTGCCTCTAAAAAGAAAAATAAAAAATAAAAATTAAATCACCATTTATAAAAGATGTATAATTAACTTTTATGACACATCATTTGATCAAGTGAGCACATTGAAATAGGAGTGTAAACTTGGAGGAAAATCAGTTCTTAGAGCAAGTGGATACAACTGTGCTATTGGGGTTGTCCTAGAAGACACCATGTTTTCTGAGGTATTGCTTCATCCCATGTAGCACAGGGAATGATGGAGCCAGAGAGTGCAGAAAGGACAGTGAGCACACAGACATCACAAGTAACTGGTTTTATGTCAGAAGATTCTTGGTAGTAGAGAGGAATTCAGGATTCTTTACACTGAATCTCATTTGCATTACACTGAATTTGTGGGGAGTCCAATGTGTCTTTGTTTATAGGTCTCTCTAGGAATACGGGCCTAGAATTATTTCCAAAACAGTTTCAAGAATATCCTATGATGGCTAGATCTGTGTTAATGTATTTTAGGATTCCTTTCCAAACTGGAGGAGTTCAGGACTAGAATGAATGGTGAGTGGCTGTAGGGTTTCCAAGGGGAAGAAGGAGTTTTCTTAGACTGGTCTGCATTTTGTGTGCATGTATGCCAATTTTAGGAATGGTATAAATTTAATCTAAACTGGGGTCTCATGATCTCTTACTATAGAGAAAAGAATCCCTAGGTTTATCTAGACCGGAACCTCAAGAGTTTTTAGCCCAGAGTTGCCTGGCTCCTGTTCTTCTCATTACAGTGGATTCCCTGAAGTATGCACTAACTCTTATGGCTTTAGACATCTCTGGGGAGCCAAGCTGAAAGGCAGTCAGATGGAGAGGGAAAGAGGTAAGTTAGTTGGTTGAGCTAAAAAGGATCAAGGCTCAGACAATCCATATTTGTAGCACCACGAGGAAAAACCTTGTCTCAAATTTGACTCTCTTTCTGCACCTCTGTTCCTTATACCACTAAAATGCTGCTTATTGTAACCTCCTTTATTCTTTTTTTTTTTGAGACTGAGTCTCACTCTGTCGCCCAGGCTGGAGTGCAGTGGCATGATCTCGGCTCACTGCAAGCTCTGCCTCCTGGGTTCATGCCATTCTCCTGCCTCAGCCTCCTAAGTAGCTGGGACTACAGGTGCCTGCCACCACACCCGGCTAATTTTTTGTATTTTTAATAGAGACGGGGTTTCACCGTATTAGCCAGGATGGTCTCGATCTCCTGACCTCGTGATCCGCCTGCCTCAGCCTTCCAAAGAGAACCTCCTTTATTCTTTAAGTCACCAAGATGTAACTAAACTCATCATTTTATAAATGTTGAGGGTTCTGCTGAGGAGAAGGTGCTGATTCTGGGCATAGTTTTGCATGTAGCCATTTTATGAGTAACTTCTTTTTTTTTACAAGGTGGCAGACTAGGTAACCTGAAGCCTTGCCTACTACAAAATCTTTAGAACAGCTGGAGGAGATAATGCAGCTTGGTATACTCCTTTAAAATGCATAGCTGAGTTTACCCAAAGGTCAGGAAAAATCCCAGAGGACAAAAATGCAGAAGGATCTGAAAACTCGGGCGGTAAGACTAACAACTGATTGATACTGAGATGCTCAGTGGAGGTGACTTAGGCACTTGAATTTTAACCCTTATGTAGGGACCAGAAACAAGGATTTGGCTCATATTAATTGAAAAATTGAAAATAGAAATTTCCACACAGATGATCCCGCAATGGGCTACAGTGGGAGGGGGAGGTGAAATGGAAAACATGTAACTGTTAGCAGCACTGAATCCATCGGATCTGCAGCAAACTGGATTTTTGCCTTGTTAGAGGAAAGAATTCAGCTAAGGGACATAAGGCAGAGTGAGAGACTGAGACAAGTTTCAGAGCAAGAGTGAGAGTTTATTAAAAATTCTAGAGCAAGAATGAAAGGAAGTACAGTACACTTGGAAGAGGGCCAAGCGGACAACTTGAGAGATCCAAGTGCCCCATCTAACCTTTGACTTGGGTTTTTATACATTGGAATGGTTCTGAGGTTTGCATTTCTTCTCCGCTGATTCTTCCCTTGGAGTGGACTGTTTGCATGCTCAGTAGCCTGCCAGCACTTGGGAGGTGCTGCATGTGCAGTGTGTTTACTGAAGTTGTGTGCATACTCATTCAAGGCATTTTTCCCTTAGCAGTCAAGTGTTCCCAGAGGAAGGTCATATACTAGTTAAACTCCGCCATTTTGTCAGTTACTGCACATGCTTGAGCCCACTAGCCCAACTTCTGAGATCTTGTCGGGAAGCTGCTGATCACCAAGAGTTTGCTATCTGTTGGGAGACTGCCTTTCCCTGGCACTGGCTGCGACCAATTATTATTTTGGAGAGACTGTTTAATGACTGCCTATCTCCTGATGGTAGCCTGACATTCCTGAGGAGGGCCCTCTCCTGCCCTGCTCATGTCTGCCTAGCTACCTACTCCAACAAAACCACTTAGCACAGGCAAGCATCAAGGAAGCTTGTACTTAAACTGGGCTCTGGGGGAAAAATATCTCCCGGGGAACTGCTACCATAGGTGCAGTTTTGTGATTTTAATATACAGTTTCCTTTGGATTTTAGAACCTCAAAACATCCCCAGCTATTCTCTTCTCCCAGTTTCAGGTTCTTACTTTTCTCTGGACACCCCTCCCCAAATAACTTGAATTCCTGTTTTATTATGTAGAGCAATTTAGTTTCCTTTTGCCTCAACTTCTATCCACTTTGATTTATCAAGGGCTTTTCTTTTAGTGAAAAAAATCATATTGATGCATTTTCCAATCAAAGGAACCAATACTCTGATTTGCTGCTTTCTCAGAATATGAAAGTGTTGACCTAAAAGGAAGAAACTGAGGCAAAATTAATATAAGTAGAGTTTGTTTAGGCCAATCTTGAGGACTGCAACCCAGGATCATAGATTCAAATGGCCCTGAATATATGCTTCAATTAACAGCAGTTATAAGTGTTTTGTTAAAGGAAAAGAAGAGGCAGATTTTGAGCTGTTCACCAAGAATTTACATTAAAATAACACAAGCTGTTGATTGGCTATACAGCTGGTCAGGAACAAAATGACTTTAAACAATTGCCCCCAGGCATGGGTGATGGGTGTGGTGGAGGCTGGGGGTGGGGTCTTGTGGGGTTGGGGGCAATGACTGAAGTTTCATACTCATGTCTTTCTGGGCCTGAGTACCTCACATAGCTCAGACTGCTCTGAACTATTTTTTTTTTCTCAAAAAAAAAAAGTGTACTTTTGTTAAACAGTCTCTCCAAAATAATAATTGGTCGCAGCCAATGCCAGGGAAAGGCAGTCTCCCATTAGATAGCAAATTCCTGGTGATCAGCAGCTTCCCGATAAGCTCTCAGAAGTTGGGCTAGTGGGCTCAAGCATGTGCACTAACAGACAAAATTTTTTTTCTCAAAAGAAATATTTTCCTCAGTATTTTGGCTTTGTTTTAGAAGTAACAATTGTCCTTATTTTTGTAAATTCTACTATCAGTTTAATGATCTCTTGTGGAACAAAGGGAAGATGGTGGGAGGGGCCAAGATGGCCGAATAGAAACAGCTCGGGTCTGCAGCTCCCAGGGAGACCAACACAGAAGGCAGATGGTTTCTGCATTTCCAGCTGAGGTACCCAGTTCATCCTACTGGGACTGGCTAGGCAGTGGGTGCGCCCCATGGAGAGTGAGCAGAAGCAGGGTGGGGCATTGCTTCACCCAGGAAGTGCATGGAGCCCAGAGGAGTGGGGGGACCTCCCTCCCCCAGCCAAGGGAAGTGGCGGGGGACTGTGCTACCCACCAGGGTTACTATGCTTTTCCCATGGATTTTTGCAATCCATGAATCAAGAGATTACCTTGTGAGCCTACACCACCAGGGCCCTGGGTCTCAAGCACAAAACTGGGTGGCTGTTCAGGCAGGCACTGAGCTGCAGGAGTTTTTTACATACTCCAGTGACACTTGGAACTCCAGTGAGACGCAAGCGTCCACTCCTTTGGAAAAGGGGCTTAAGCCAGGGAGCCAAGTGGTCTTGCTCAGTGGCTCCCACTCCTATAGAGCCCAGTAAGCTAAGAACCACTGGCTTGAAATCCCCATTACCAGCACAGCAGTCTCGAATCTGCCTGGGATGATCAAGTTGCCAGGGGGAGGGGAAGCGCCATTACTGTGGCTTCAGTAGGTGGTTTGGGAGGTTTGGACTGGGCAGAATTCCCCGCAGTGCAGCAAAACAGCTGTGACCAGACTGCTTCTCTAGATCCTTCCTCAGCAGGCAGGGCCTCCCTGTAGAAAGTCCACCAGCTCCAGTTAGGGGCTTACAGACTGAACTCTCATCTCCCTGGGACAGAGCACCTGTGGGGAGGGGTGGCCGTGGTCTCAGGTTCAGCGGGCTTAATCTTTCTTGCCTGCCAGCTCTGAAGAGATTGATGAGGGCTCTGATCCTGATGAGGGCGATTCCCTGAGCACAGCACACCAGCTCTGCTAAGGGACAGACTGCCTCCTCAAGAGGGTCCCTGACCCCATGCCTCCTATCTGGGTGAGACCTCCAAACAGGAGTCAGCAGACACCTGATGCAGGAGAGCTCTGGCTGACATCAGGTTGGTACCCCTCTGGGAAGAACCTTTCAGAGGAAGGAGCAGGCCGCAATCTTTGCTGTTCTGCAGCCTCCACTGGTGATAACCCAGGCGAACAGAGTCTGGAGTGGACCCCCAGCAAACTGCAGCAGACCTGCAGAAGAGGGGCCTGACTGTTAGAAGACAAACAAACAGAAAGCAACAATAACAACAGCAACAACAACAAAAAAGACCCCACAAAAACCCCATCCAAAGGTCATCAGCCTCAAAGATCAAAGGTAGATAAATCCACAAAAATGAGGAAAAACCAATGCAAAAATGCTGAAAATCCCGGAAGCCGGAATGCCTCTTTTCCTCCAAATGATCACAATATCTCTCCAGCAACAGCACAGAACAGGGCTGAAGCTGAGATGGATGAACTGACAGAAGTAGGCTTTAGAGAGTGGGTTATAACTGATTTCACTGAGCCAAAGGATTATGTTCTAACCCAATTCAAAGAAGCTAAGACCCATGATAAAACATTACAGGAGCTGTTAACTAGAATAAACAGTCTGTAGAGGAACATAAATGACCTGATGGGTCTGAAAAACACAGCAAGAGAACTTTGTGATGCAGACACAAGTATCAATAGCTGAACTGACCAAGCAGAAGAGAGAATATCAGAGCTTGAAGACTGTCTTGCTGAAATAAGGCAGGCAGACAAGATTAGAGAATAAAGAATGTGAAAAGGAATGAACAAAACCTCCAAGAATTATGGGACTATGTAAAAAGATGGAACTTACAACTGATTGAAGTACCTGAAAGAGATGGGGAAAATGGAACTAAGTGGAAAAACACACTTCAGGATATCATCCAGGAGAACTTCACCAGCCTAGTAAGACAGACCAGTATTCAAATTCAGGAAATCCAGAGAACCTCAATAAGATACTCCATGAAAAGATCTACTCCAAGACACGTAATCACCAGATTCTCCAGAGTTGAAATGAAGAAAAAAATGCTAAGGGCAGCAAGAGAAAAAAGCCAGGTCACCAACAAAGGGAAGCCCATCAGACTAACAGCAGACCCCTAAGCAGAAACCCTGCAAGCCAGAAGAGACTGGGGGCCAATATTCAACATTCTTAAAGAAAAGAAATTCCAACCCAGAATTTCATATCCAGCCAAACTGAGCTTCAAAAGCAAAGGAGAAATAAAATCTTTTTCAGACAAACAAATGCTGAGGGATTTTGTCATCACCAGGCCTGTCTTGCATATTTAGTGCTTCCTTCAGGAAGCACTAAATACGGATAGGAAAAACCATTACCAGCTACTACAAAAACACACTGAAGTACACAGACCAATGACACTATGAAACAACTACATTAGTAAGTCTGCAAAATTAACCAGCCACCATCATGATGACAGGATCAAATTCATACGTAATAATATTAACCTGAAATGTAAATAGGCTAAATGCCCCATTAAAAGACACAGAATGGCAAGCTGGATACAAAGACAAGACCCACCGGTGTGCTGTCTTCAAGAGACATATCTCATGTGCGAAGACACACATAGACTCAAAATAAGGGGATGGAGGAAAATTTACCAAGCAAATGGAAAGCAGAAAATAGCAGGAGTTGCAATCCTAGCTTCTGACAAAATAGACTTTAAAGCAACAAAGGTCAAAAAAGACAAAAAAGGGCATTACATAATGTTAAAAGGTTCAATTCAACAAGAAGAGCTAACTATCCTAAATATATATGCACCCAATACAGGAGCACCCAGATTAATAAAACAAGTTCTTAGAGACCTACAAAGAGACTTAGACCCCCACACACAATAATAGTAGAAGACTTTAATACCCCACTGTCAGTATTAGACAGATCATTGAGACAGAAAATTAAAAAATATATTCAGGACTTGAACTCAGCTCTAGACCAGGTGGACCTGATAGATATCTACAGAACTCTCCCCCCCAAAACAACAGAATATACATTTTTGTTTTAGCACCACATGGCACTTACTCTAAAATTGATCAAATAACTGGAAGTAAAACACTCCTCAGCAAATGCAAAAGAACTGAAATCATAACAAAAGTCTCTCAGACCACAGTGAAATCAAATTGGAACTCAAGATTTAAAAGCCTACTCAAAACCACACAACTACATGGAAATTGAACAACCTGTTCCTGAATGACTTCTGGGTAAATAATGAAATTAAGGCAGAAATCAAGAAGTTGTTTGAAACCAAAAAGAGCAAAGAAACAATGTATCAGAATTTCTGGGATGCAGCTAAAGCAGTATTAAGAGAAATGTATAGCACTAAATGCCCACATGAAAAAGCTAGAAAGATCTCAAATTGACACCCTAACATCACAACTAAAAGAACTAGAGAACCAAGAGGAAACAAATCTCATAGTTAGCAGAAGACAGGAAATAAACAAGCTCAGAGTGGAACTGAAGGAGATAGAGATATGAAAAACCCTTCAAAAAATCAATGAATCCAGGAGCTGGTTTTTTGAAAAAAAATCAATAAAGTAGATTGCTAGTGAGACTAATAAAGAAGAAGAGAAGACTCAAATAAACACAATCAGAAATGATAAGGCGGATACCACCACTGACCCCACAGAAATACAGACAACCCTCAGAGAATACTATAAGCAACTCTATGCACATAAACTGGAAAATCTAGAAGAAATGGATAAATTCCTGGACCCATAAACCCTCCTAAGACTGAACCCAGAAGAAGTTGAATCCCTGAATAGAGCAATAATAAGTTCTGAAATTGAGGGAGTAATAAATAGCCTACCAACCAAAAAAAGCCCAGGTCCAGAATTCTACCAGAGGTACAAAGAGGAGCTGGTACCATTTCTTCTGAAACTATTCCAAACAATTGAAAAGGAGGGAATCCTCCATAACTCACTTTATGAGGCCAGCATCATCCTGATACAAAAACCTGGCAGAGATACAACAAAAAAAGAAAACTTCAGGCCAATATCCCTGATGAACATTCATGCAAAAATTCACAATAAAATATTGGCAGCAGACTGAATCCAGCAGCACATCAAAAAGCTTATCCACCACGATCAAGTTGGCTTCGTCCCCAGGATGCAAGGCTGGTTCAACATACGTAAATCAATAATGCAATTCACCACATAAGCAGAACTAAAGACAAAAACCACATAATTATCTCAATAGACACAGAAAAGGCTTTTGATAAAATTCAACACCGCTTCATGTTAAAAACTCAATAAACTAGGTGTTGAAGGAACATGCCTCAAAATAATAGGAGCCATTTATGACAAAAAACAGTCAATAACATATCAATAACATACCGAATGGGCAAAAACTGGAGGCATTGCACTTGAAAACTGGCACAAAACAAGGATGCCCTGTCTCACTACTCCTATTCAACATGGTGTTGGAAGTTCTGGCCAGGGCAATCAAGCAAGAGAAAGAAAGAAAGGGTATTCAGGTAAGAAGAGCGGAAGTCAATTTGTCTTTGTTTGCAGATGACATTATCCTATATGTAGAAACCCTATCATCTCAGCTCAAAAGCTTCTTAAGCTGATAAACAACTTTAGTGAAGTATCAGGATACAAAGTTAATTTGCAGAAATCACAAGCATTCCCATACATCTACTGCAGACAAGCAGAAACCCAAATCATGAATGAACTCGCATTCACAATTGCCACAAATGAATAAAATATCTTGGAATACAGCTAACAAGGGAAGTGAAGGACCTCTTTAAGGAAAACTACAGACCGGTCAAGGAAATCAGAAAGGACACAGGCAGATGGAAAAACATTCCACGGTCATGGATAGGAAGAATCAATGTCATGAAAATGGCCATACTGCCCAAAGCAATTTATAGATTTAATGCTATTCCCATTAAACTACCGTTGACATTCTTCACAGAATTAGAAAAATCTATTTTAAAATTCATATGGAACCAAAAAAGAGCTCGCATAGCTAAAGTGACAGTTGTAAGCAAGAAGAACAAAGCTGGAGGTATCATGCTATGATGCCTTTAAACTTACTACAACACCACAGTAATCAAAACAGCATGGTACTGGTACGAAAATAGGCACGTAGACCATTGGAACAGAATAGAGAACTCAGAAATAAACTCGCACATCTACAACCATCTGATCTTCAACAAACATGACAAAAACAAGCAATGGGGAAAGGATTTCCTATTTAATAAATGGTGCTGGGAGAACTTGGTAGCTATATGCAGAAAATTGAAACTGGATCTCTTCCTTACACCTTATACAAAAATTATCTCAAGATGGATTAAAGCCTTAAATGTAAAACCCAAAACTATAAAAACCCTAGAAGACAATCTAGGCAATACCATTCAGGACATAGGCATGGGCAAAGACTTTATGATGAAATTGCCGAAAGCAATTGCAACAAAAGCAAAAATTGACAAATGGCGTCTAATTAAACTAAAGAGCTTCTGCACAGTGAATGAAACTATCATCAGAGTGAACAGACAACTTATGGAATGGGAGAAAATCTTTGCAATCTATCCATCTGACTAAGGTCTAATATCCAGAATCTATAAGGAACTTAAGCAAATTTACAAGGTAAAAACACAACCCTGTTAAAAAGTGGGCAAAGGATATAAACAGACACTTCTCAAAAAAAAAAAAAAAAAAAAAGACGTACATGCAACCAACAAACACATGAAAAAGAGCTCAATGTTACTGATCATTAGAGAAACGCAAATCAAAACCACAATGAGATACCATCTCATGCCAGTCAGAATGGCAGTTATTAAAAAGTCAGGAAACAACAGATGCTGGTGAGGTTGTAGAGAAATAGAAACACTTTTACACTGTTGGTAATGTAAATTAGTTCAACCATTGTGGAAGACAGTGTGGTGATTCCTCAAAGATTTAGAACCAGAAATACCATTCGACCCAGCAATCCCATTACTGGGTATATACCCAAAGGATTTATAAATCATTCTATTATAAAGGCACATGCACACCTATGTTCATTGCAGCACTATTTACCATAGCAAAGACATGGAATCAACCCAAATACCCATCAGTGATAGAATGGATAAAGAAAATGTGGTACATACACACCATGGAATAGTATGCAGACATAAAAAAGAACGAGATCATGTCCTTTGTAGGGACATGGATGAAGATGGAAGCCATCATCCTCAGCAAACTAATGCAGGAACAGAAAACCAAACATTGCATATTCTCACTTATAAGTGGGAGTTGAACAATGAGAACACATGGACACAGGGAGGGGAACAACAGACACTGGGGCCTGTTGGGGAAGAGTGGGAGTGGGAGAGCATTAGAGAAAAGAGCTGATGCACGCTGGGCTTAATACCTAGCTGATGGGTTGATAGGTGCAGCAAACCACCATGGCATACATTTACCTATGAAACAAACCTACTCATCCTGCACATGTACCCCAGAACTTAAAAAAAGAAAAAGCTATAAAAAAGGCAAGATATTCAAAGAAAAAGGAGCTAGGCAACCAACTATATTAAAATGAGAATTCTATAGTAATCACAGTTGAACTTTTGCAGTGACTATACAATATGCTGCATTATTTATATATAGGAATGAAGGCTTGAGAAAATGAGACATCAATAGAAAACTATTTTCTTCCATAGTAATGGGATTTGACTTGATTAAAAATTATTCCAAATACATTTTCTAATTTCCTCTCTTTTCAACTATGTACCCTGAACCAGTCTATTTAGAAATTATTTATTTGGTATTAATAAAGAGAGGCATGCTCCCAAGTTCAGGTCAAAATCTTTACTGACTAGAAACTGAAAAGGTCACCCAGGGCTGGGAAGGATTTTTCAGTTTTGGGTACTTCAAACACTTTTTGAAGTTGTCTTTCTGAATAATTTCTTAGTAATGTAATTTTTATAGCATCCATAGTATAAAGCCCTAATTTAGGAAAGGCTTGCTTGGTCTTTTCAAATATTCCTGTTCCCCAAAGGATGATAATGTATAATGTACAAGGAAGGAAGTGGTGGGGGAAGCAGTGCTAGCACACCATGACGTTGATCAGAATATTCTGAAAAGAGCCACTTGATGGCAGCAAAAGGCATGTTTTCAGCACTGATTGTCTCATTAATGAATCACAGGAAAAGAAGGGTATCTTCCCCCTTCTGAATTTCTGAAACTTGGTGTTGAAATATTCTCCTGCTGTGTTGTTAATGGGCTTTTTGAGGAAATACATAGTGAACTCTTTAATAAGCACTTGTTATTTTGTGATGTGCTTGGCCCCTTTTACTTTATGTTCCAAAACAGGTTTAAGTAACAGTATGCATAGATACTTATATGCTTGCATATGCATCTATATGTTTATAGACTTATTTTCATATTATAATGATAAATACTGTGTCTAGCACTGAGGGAATTAGACATTTGACTCACTGGTAAAAATCCTTCTGTGAACTGGAATGTTTCCAAAGAGCGCATACTATTTGGGGCAGAATATGAAGAAGCTGATTTTTTTAGTGTTAATCAAAAGGAAAAGTTCCATTTTTCTTGATACAAAGCCTTTTCCAGAGAATCAATTACCAATATTAATACATCACTATGTGTTAAGTATTTCAGAGAGAGAAATTGAGAAATAAGACAAAGTGATACAGGCAATTTTGAAAATAAATGTTACTATTTATTTGAAAATAAATGTTACGTATTCAGGACCTGAACAACGTGAAGGTGAAAGTTAGGTGGTGACTGTAATGAGAATGGAATAGACTCTGTCTCTCTGTTCTGTTTCCTTTTTGATAAGCTTTAGTAAGAAGTCACGTGGAGAACTCATCTGGCTGGGTGTGGTGAGTACCCTCAGTAAGTGTGATCTGACCAGGACGACTGCACCAAAGGAGGTGGCAGGAGAGAATATCTGAAATGGAGACTTTCCTAAAGTGTAAAATGCATGGTTTCTTTTTTTGTTAGTTTGTTTGTTTGTTTTTGAGACAGAGTCTCACTCTGTCGCCCTGGCTGGAGTGCAGTGGCGGGATCTCGGCTCACTGCAAGCTCCGCCTCCCGGGTTCACGCCATTCTCCTGCCTCAGCCTCCCGAGTAGCTGGGACTGCAGGCGCCCACCACCACGCCCGGCTAATTTTTTTGTATTTTTAATAGAGACGGGGTTTCACCATGTTCGCCAGGATGGTCTTGATCTCCTGACCTCGTGATCCGCCCGCCTTGGCCTCCCAAAGTGCTGGCATTACAGGCGTGAGCCACCGCGCCCGGCCAAAATGCATGGTTTCTATGTGCTGAGGGGGCAGCAAAAGCAAGCAAGGATAAATAGGAAAAATAAATGAGGGAGAGACTGGCATAGACTTCGAAGGCTGAAAGAAATTGTTCAAGATCCAATTAAAGTCCATGCACCAAGCTGACTTAGGCCTTAGCCTCTGGAGCTCTTACATTTATCCCGATTTTTGAAAGAATCACTAATACAGTGGTTCATAAGTATGAAAAGACTCTCTGGTTTGTAGCTTCAGTTTCTGTCGTCACAGTTGTAGGCTTCAGCACATAATTTTTCTCAAGGCTGATTTATCATTTAGTGGAAAAAAATCAGGGTGAACTTTTACTTTAAGCAGTAGTTTATTTTTAATTAAATTTTTGTTAAGTTCACCATTTTCAACACCTTCAGTAATGCTTTCTGATCCCTTACACAAACTTTTTTCCTTTTCTAGTCAATATTGATTGAGTAGTAGAAGCCCAGGTGCACATTTTTACTGATAAGAACAGTGATTTTCACTTCTTATTGCTCTTCAAGTAATAAGGTGGTCAGCCTGCTTCCATTGTTTACACCGGTAGCTTCCTTCCAAGGAAGGAGTGTTTGTGTGTTTGCTTCTTTGTTTTATTTATTTTGGGAGGTGATATTTGTTTGTTTTGGGAGGTGGTATTTGTTTAATTTATTTTGGGAGGTGGTAAGAAAAAAATTAAATTTAATAAAATATAAGTGACCTAAACTGATGAAACTATTGAAGTACAAAGCTACCAACTGTAGCAAATTAAAAAAAGAGATACAATATGATTTCCAAAGGTATGTAGCTAAACACAGCATTTAGGGGTGGGTAAAGAATGGACGACTGGGAAAGGGTTCAGGAGCTAGTGTGGGAAGAGAGCCGAGTTGTATGTTTTAATGAAGCCCAGAACTCCTTGATTCAATAGCTGAAAAGCTTGATTGGCTGCTCATACAAGGCTGGATGCAAATTCTGCTGGAGTGGTGCTTTAGATAATTTGTTGGGTTCACTCTTAATTAGGCTAAACATTGACTTGCTTGTACGATTAATTCACAATAATAGCACAATTAATTACTAAGGCTGGGAGTAAGGGGCAGAGCCAGTTGCCGAGAAAGGGCTGGTGGCAAGAAAGGCTGGAAATGAATGGCTGATTCTGGTCAAGGGGGTTGACCCAGGGAGGCCCTGGAGAGGGGGGTTGAGTAAGGGGAGAGGGAGAAGGAGAGGGAAGGGGGTAAGAGGGAGGAAGAAGAAAGAGAATGAGACTAGACTTATTTAGCTAGAGGAAACAGCAGTAGGGCACAGTTTGCTGCTGTTAATACTATTGGTTTTGCATTACTTGGTTTTAATAGTACAAAGGTAAAATAGCACAGCATATCCAAATTATCACGAGTTTAGTTAGTGTTGTTTGAATTGGTGAAGTTTTAAAACATTAGTGAAAAACATAGTCAATGTTGGATCCTTGTTACTCTGTGGGAGTGCTTTATTACCTATTCAGAATGAACACTGATTTGACACACTTAAGAGGTGTTCTGTGATCGTTATTCATGGTTGTTTACTCCAGCTCTCTTATTAAATATTTTATCAGCTTGTTAGAGGGGGAAAATTCTGATTTGGCAAATAAAATACTTGAATGTTAGCCCCATCTTAACTACATAGAGCAAAAATAATGCGGAAACGTTAGACAGTTTTCTCATTTTCTAGAAATGAGTTGTTATATCATTTATAATTAATGATATTAATAGTGATATTAATATTACTATTCCTGACATCATCATCATCATTAATCTGGGGGAAATGCATGCTTCCAAGGTGAAGAGGCAAACTAAATTTTTAAGGTTGCAAAAAATCTTGGTTGTCTTTGGCTTTATTTTATGTGGGAGGCAGTGTGATATAATAGAAACAGCATGGACTTTTGTCCCAGCATTCTTTAGCCATGTGACTCTGAGTAAACTATACTTTCTGAGCCTCAGTTTCCTCAAGTGTAAAATGAGGATGTTAGTACCCATTTCAGGGTTGTTGTGACAATCAAGGAAGATAATAAATGCAAAACAATTGGTATGATGCCCACCATATAATGAACTCTTGATAAATATTAGTAGCTATTATAAAAACAGAAAACATATATTTTAGTTGAAGTACTTTAGCTCTCAATAAATATTAATTGCTGTAATTAAAAACAATAAATAATTTGGCCAATATAATGAAATGACCTAATTTATGGCAATAATATTATTACGTTATCATGCAATTGTAATAGTTATTATTAATTTCATACAAAATGCCCAAATGAATACCTGGCTCCAGTAGGTCTTTAATAAATAGGAAAGTCTTATGCCATAGTACTTAATGTGTAATCTTAAAGATACTTATAGAGTGAAATTAGCCCATGGAATATATGGCACCTGGCTTGAATGGTATTGGAATGCATCTTTATGAATGTAAAGCAGTTCCTTATTTGATTTTCCATAAATGAAAAGTAAATATTAAAATCTATAATATTTCATTAGGGTTCACAAGTTATATTAACTAAATGATTATTTGATAATTCTTTTTAAAAAGAGGAAAAATTTGATACAATTATGGATGATAGCATGGGAATTAATAACTCAGTGGCCTGTGTGTATGCACATGTTGTGTGTGTATTCGTTATCTAGAGCCCATACGATAATGAATATCTTTAGATCTATCTGAGTTCCTTCTTCCCAGTGGTGAGTATGTAGGAAATAATTACTTTCTAGTCATGGAAAATTGATGTATATTGATAGCCTGAGGTTTCAAGGCTTACCAAAAGTTATATAGTCTGATTTAATAAATTAATAAGAGATCGCCCAGCACCATCTGAGAAAGTGATATTTCTGTGGCAGGTTATCCTATTTGTTATTAACTCCATAGTTATTCTTGAGGAATTGATGAAAACAGTTAACAGAGTCCTATTAAGAAAATATTTTAATATTTAAATATTTCCCTCCTAAGGTAGCATCAGTGACAGTACAACTGTTATACATTATCCTTGCTCCTGAGTTAGGAATGTCTACAAACTCTTCTACCGTTCTGGTACCAGGTCAGGAAGGTAATACTTTTTTTCATAGTGGACTTAAGTAAGCTGCCTGTGCTTTCTTAAGAAGAGCATCACATTGGAATTGGTTAACTTTTCTCTATTTCATTTGCCTTTAGGCTACCACCAGGGTACCCTGACACTCTACTTTTTCTTTTTTTCTGGAGAAGCAAATATGCATAACATAATTAAGTTAGTGTCAGAAGATGTGGGATTATGGGACTTGAAAGAGCAAAATATTTACAATAGTAAAGTTCTTTAGAATTGGGACACTCAAAGACTGATACTGATTTAAGTAACATACTAAATTAATATCCTTATTTAATTTTAAGAACCACCACTTTATGTCATTTACAATAGAAGATCAATAAAATAAAAACAAAATATGAAGAAAGGGAAGTATTGGATTTTGATATATATTTTGTAGCCTACATAGTTTAATTCTCTCTCCCTAAAATACATATTTTAAAAGATTAGGAGGGGCCGGGCACGTGGCTCACACCTGTAAACCCAGCACTTTGGGAGGCCGAGGTGGGCGGATCACGAGGTCAGGAGATAGAGACCATCCTGGCTAACGTGAAGAAACCCTGTCTCTACTAAAAATACGAAAACAAAAAAAATTAGCCAGGCATGGCGGCGGGCGCCTGTAGTCCCAGCTAGTTGGGAGGCTGAGGCAGGAGAATGGTGTGAACCCAGGAGGCAGAGCTTGCAGTGAGCCGAGATTGCACCACTGCACTCCAGCCTGGGTGACAGAGCAAGACTCTGAGACTCCGTTTAAAAAAAAAAAAAATTAGGAGGATAGTTCCTAGGCATATTGAAAAGCATACATTATTCAGCATCCTATATAGTAATAGGAAATTATATATATATCACATATAAGATGCTTATATTCTTTTAGCAAAAAACAATTGGTTTTTATTGCTTCAGTATTGCCTCAGATTTCAATGTTGCGTCAATATTTGATTGCTTAAATATGGTTAATACAGCTACATATGCATATTCTGTTATTTTAAATATATTATAAATTATATTTTAAATATATTACTTAATGTATTCTAGTATACACTATATATATATCTCTATGTGTATGTGTAATATCCATTATTAGGTAATAAAATCTAGTTATTAAAGCATTTTACTTTTATTAGAGAATTTGATGTACAAACTTACAGCTGAGTATCCAAAATAAATCACTGATGATAAAAAGTTATGAGTAACAAAGAGATACATTTTGAACCCTACAGAGGCATCTTAAGTGTGTGGAGATATAGTTCATAAAACTGAGACATCAACAACATTTCATAGAATAGATCTTAAAGGAGCAACAGATGTGTTATTTCTGTTGGGATGCTGTCAAGTTAATACAGGGCTCAGCAGAAAAGAGATGAGCTAGGAAATTTCAGCTCTAGCTGTAGTTTAAAGACAGATTTCCCTGACATCAAACAGAGTTGGTTCAAGAAGTAGGACATTGACACATTTTGTCATAGCCATACAATGAGTGATGATGGCTTACAAAGGCAAGGTAAGAATTTAGGACTAGAAGATGCAAGTCAAGGTTGGCATGATTGGAGATCCAAGTCATTAAGATTGTCATTTGTGGTAATAGTCTAAACTCATGGATTACTTAGGAATTAGCAATAAGATGGAGCTAAAGTCAGGAGTTTTGGAGAATTTAATGAACTCCATGGACCCACTTCCTCCAGCCTCCCAAATTTTGTGTACAATGTGAGAGAGTTTACAGACTCCCAGCCATTGAACTAAGTATCTCAGAATTAGGAGAGTAAACAGGAGACCTCAATGATAAGCACTTAAAACTAATATGTATCAATCAGGATAGGTTAGATTATGCCTCAGTAACAAGCAAATCCAACATCTCAGTGGTCTGAAACAACAAAGTTTATTTCTTGCTCTCACTACATTTTCATTGTGAGTCAGCTGGAGGGCTCTACTGCTTGTCGCTGTCTCTCTGGGATCAAGGCTGAAATAGCAGTTGTAATGTGGAAGGTTGCTAGTAGCTCTCGGGGAGGTCTCAGAGCAGTCAGTAATTGAACATTCTGCCTGGAAGTGACATAAATCACTTCTGCTCACACTCTGATAAGAACTAATTATTTGGCTCCACCCAAGCACAAGGGCATGGTAAGTGCATGGGCCTGGGAGGGGGAGAACCAGAAGCATTTTCAGGAACAACTCTACAGACTACTACATGAGACCACTCCTACCTCTCAACTAGAAAGGGATTATATACTTCCTGATCTCTTTCCTAAAATTTCTCTTTCCTACTTCTTTCCTACTTCTCTTTCCTAAAATTCTTCTCCACCTTCTAACACACAATGTCCTTCTTCCTATGAAGGAAATATATAGAATATTTAAAAAATCATCCCATCTATGGCTTGACATAAAAGGTGTGGATGCATTTCACATCAAAATCTAGTTCTTTTTCCAACTATACGTCATAGTGATACCAGTTGGCCAGTCAGGATAAGTGTGCAATAATTGAACAGAGGAGAAATCTATTTCATGAGGAAGGTAAGATGTCAGGATTAGTTAGACATTGGACTGACTGGTGGCTACTACGCTCTGGTTGGGTTCTTATCTATAATTAGTACTGTATACATTCTGATACGGTCACTACATTCATTCTGATTGGTACTTCTTATGCCATTTTGGTTCTAAATACTTCGAATGTCATCCTTAGTTAATAGAAATAAATTAGTTAAGTTATTGAATTTCGAAGAAAAGGAACAGGTCAACAGAACTTTATGGAGATATGGATAAAACATGTATAATAAGTCAGAGGAATTATAAAATGTTATACCTTCTTATGTCTACAAATTTAAAATAAGTCAAGAACACAGTTGGAATTTGATCATTTAAAATAGAGGCTCCAACTGTGGCTGAACTTTTGCACTCGTCCTGGTTGCCCTAGTAACAGGGCTCCCTTTCTATGCTAGTAATGTTACAGTGTGAGTGAGGTAATAATTGGCAGTAGAGACATACGCATTCAAGTCAGCTCCTACTTCTGGGTAAGTTAGGAGTTTGCTGAAGGCAAAGGATGAGGTCATAAAGGGACGAATTTGAGTTAAAAAGAAAATAAGGAAAAGAATTAAGTTGAGCCTTATCTTGACATTTTCTGAGCAGAGCCCCACACATCACATGCATTTCTCCTGATCTTGGTTGAAGTCAGGGTAGACAGTAAGTCATGTGATTGTATATCTCTATGAGGTCTTCCATCACAGCCCAGAGGAAGCACTAGACTGGAAAATTGTAACCTGTGCAAATTGGCTTGGATTAGAGCCACCTGTCCGTGGATTACTCTGTCTCTCTTAGAGTTACCCAGAAAGTTCTCATCTGCCCAAAAGGTTCAAGAGGGAGTCAAAACAGGCTTGCTCATATTTTTCTGTAAATGTTGTTTACTTTCTGTTTGATATTGTCCTTAGGCATATTGTATCCTTGCCAAATGTATCTGTTCGAATTCTGCTTAATGGTCTGAGCCTTTTTTTGCTTTCATTAAATATATGTCAAATGTACACCACTGCTTGGACTGAGATTAGGAAGAGTAAGCAATGAGCACTTCACTATTTTTTCTTTTTATAATTTTGACTTTTATTTTAGATTCAGGGGGTACATGTGCGGGTTTGTTACATGGTATTGCGTGACACTGAGGTTTCGGGTATGATTGATCTTGTCACCCAGGTAGTGAGCGTAGTAACCAATAGTTAGTTTTTTAACCCTAGCCCCACTCCATCTCTCCACCTGCTAGTAGTCCCTAATGTCTACTGTTGCCATCTTTATGTCCATGTATACTCAATGTTTAGCTCCCACTTAAAAGTGAGGACAAGTGGTATTTGGGTTTCTGTTCCTTTGTTAACTCGTTTAGGAGAATGGCCTCTAGCTGCACCCATGTTGCTGCAAAGGACGTGATCTCATTCTTTTTTATGGCTGCGTAGTATTCCATGGTATATGTGTACCACATTTTCTTTATCTAATCCACCATTGATAGGCACCTAGGTTGATTGCATGTCTTTGCTATTGTGAATAGCTGAGTACTTCACTCTTTCAATCTGTTTTCTCTTTATCTAAACCTTTTCCACTAGAAAAAGAAGGGGATAAGAGGTGCTTCCTCTGTTCCACTCTTTAAAATTCCTGAAACAAAACCCAATAAAACTATAACATAAATAAATTAAAATAATACACAACATTACCTAAAAATAGGATGGTTTTTAATTTGTTATTCAAATGAGGACACCTTTGAAAGTGAAAGAAAGTACTGTTAATAATAACACAGAAGAAAACACATAGATTATGATGTTCATGCCTAACTTAAAAATATAGTCACCATACCTAAAGCTAGTAGGAGAGAACAGAGAGATAAGGAGGGAAGGAGAATTACCTTGGGATACTCTAAGGGGAAATCTTCACCTTGATGCACACTGAGTTTTCATACTCACTTGTAACTAATTTGCAGCCAAGTTCAGTACTATTAATAATAGAGAACATGAAATTATTTTAAGATAAAAGCTCTTTTCCAGGAATAACTTGTATCAGGCTGACTATTTAAGAATGAGTTACTAGGCAAAGAATAAAGTCATAGAAATCCATATTCATAGTGAAGCCTCAGAAATGGTCTTAGTGATTGACAAAAGAATTGTCAAATTAAGGACTAACTCACTAATTTGATTGCATTTTCTGTGCCCATGACAATAATTTAAGAAAATTAAAATGAACTCTACTTTTCTTAAGGCAAATCTGTCATGCCCTGCCTCAGATTTCAATAGGACTAAAGAAGAGTCCCTAGAATGTGAGAAATGACTATAACTGTGTAGTGGGCAGCCTCTGAGATGGTCTCAGTGATCCTACTTCCTGGTATTAAGCCCAATCCTTTATTCTTTTCCCCTTAAGTATAGGTCGAACCCAGTGGATCCTGCTTCTAATGAATAGAATTTGATAAAAGCAATGCCATGTTACTTCTTCTTCTTTTTTTTTTTTTGAGTGAGGCGTCATTCTGTCACCCAGTTTGGAATGCGATGGCGCAGTCACAGCTCACTACAGCCTTGACCTCCTGCTCAAATGATCTTCTCACCTCAGCCTCCTGGGTAACTGGGATTACAGGCATGTGCCACCATGCCCAGCTAATTTTTTGTATTTTGTGTAGAAATGGGTTTCACATGTTTCCCAGGCTGGTCTTGAACTCCTGGACTCGAGCGATCCTCCCACTTGGATTCCTAAAGTGCTGGGATTACAGGCATGAGCCACTGCACCCAGCCACATGTTACTTCTGAGGTTAGGGTGGCTTCTGTCTTGCATGCTCTTTCTTGCCCTCTCTCTGGGAGCCCTTACTCTGGGGGAAGCAAGCTGCCACATTGTCTGTATGTCGTCCTATGGAGAGGCTTATGTGGCAAGCAACTATCTCCAGATAATAGCCAGGAAGGACCTGAGGCCTGCCAACAACCTCATGAGGGAGTGGAAGCAGTTCCTTCCCAGATCAAGCCATGAGATGATTATAGCCTCAGCCGATGTGGTGATTATAGCCTTTTGAGAGATCCTCAGCCAGAGGATCCAGCTAAATTGTGCTCTGATTCCTGACCCACAGAAACTGAGATAATGAATGCTTTCTGTTTTAAACTGATACATTTGGTGATAATTTATTCCCTAGCAGTGGATAACTAATGCACTGCATATAAAATAAAATAGTGTGTTCTGAATGATGAAAATACACAGAAACATGCGTGTGCGTGTGGACACGCACACATACACAGAATGGCTACAAAATCCTTATGTGTGAAGGATAAGAGTTTTTCCTATGCTCTCCTGCATTCTCTGCGCTGATTTTATTTTTTGCCATGTGTTTTTCTGGATATTTTCTTCTATGTTTATGGTAGGGGGACTTTAAAATGGTTCCACAGAATATTAGCAAATAATAAACAGAAGACTTAGGCTCAGGCATAGAGACCACATATGATATTTATTATACAGCATATATTTGGGAGAAGCACTATTGATCTTTCTTATTGAATGCAAATTTTTCCTGTGAGTTTTCATAAAGAGGATTCTCTAAAATGTAGAGAACACCTTCAGTGACATTTCTAACAACATCCTTACCGTAAACAGAACAATGAATTTTAGCCGGCTTTCTTTTCAAGTCTGTCAGTATGGTCTTTATTTGCAGTTTTAAGGACTAGCCTAATTGTAGCACATGGCACCCAAGTGGAACTTACTAGCCTCCAAGGAGAATATCTTGCATATTTGACTTTTTCAACAATATCAAGTGTCATGACAAAGGAGTTCATCAAATTTCTTCTGCAGATGGATGGTTGTCTTTTGGGAATGGTTTAAGTTCTACTTGTGACAAAGGAAAAAATAATTGGCAGGTAACACCATTTTTCCGGCTATATAGTTCTGTGATTTGTTGTCTATAACTTAACTTTTAAGTTATTTGTTCCAAAAAGGTAAATATTCAGCTTGAAAAGCTGCTGAAGGAAGATTAAGTCCAGGCTACATCTCATCCTATTCTGCTATAGGGGTAGCTAAAACCCTTTGCAGAATTAAAAAAAAAAAATCTCTTTAGCACAATACAAATTATTAGAGTCATCAGATTATAGATGCCATATACCACATTAATCTAGGAATAGTGGTGTAATGCTGTTTCAGTTATTTATGAGAAAGTACCCGTATTTAAAACTGTTTCCAGAATTGGCAGTTTTTACTGCAGCCTGCACATGGGGAAATAATTCTTATTAAAATCACTTAACACTTCCTTATGAGCTTTGTGTGACACGCGGATTTATGTGCATGTCCTTTTAGTAGGAAATGAGTTTGAATTTTACTTTGGGAAGTAAGATTTATATTGTAAGCGGAAATATAAAAAGATATAATAAAACTGTTTTGGCTGGTAATGTCACAGTATCACTAATCAAAGAAAGCACAACAGAGCCATAGAAATATCTTTTTACTTTACAGAATGAAGTAGAAAATGCACTTTAATTGCTGTCAAGAAAAGATAGAAGCAAAATATTGTTTGTGATAGATATCTGTTAGTGTACAGTACAGATTTATCAACCCTTTAAAACTTAATTTAAAATTGGCCGGGCGCGGTGGCTCATGCCTGTAATCCCAGCACTTCGGGAGACTGAGGTGGGTGGATCACGAGGTCAGGAGTTCAAGACCAGCCTGGCCAAGATGGTGAAACCCCGTCTCTACTAAAAAAAAAAAAAAAAATTAGCCAGGCATGGGGGCGGGTGCCTGTAATCCCAGCTACTCAGAAAGCTAAGGCAGAGAATTGCTTGAACCTGGGAGGCGGAGGTTGCAGTGAGCCAAGATCGCACCACTGCACTCCAGCCTGGGCAACAGAGTGAGACTCTGTATCAAAAAAATAATAATAATAATTTAAAATTATATTTTCATCCTCGTATGAAAACCCTTGGAGGCTTCTGGCATTCAACTTGTACTTCTTCCATTCTGTCATCTGGCAACTTGCTGAATATTCCTTCTCTCTCACTAAAAGGTTTCTGTGCCTGTCTCACAGTCTTGGTCTTTGCTTCAAGTCTTGCCATCATCTTGGGTGTTTCTAAAATCCATACGGTCACCTAGGGACTCTGTCAAATCATCCAGTGGATGCTTCCCAGTCATTATTCTCCTTAACCTCTTTCTCTCTCCATCCCTTGACACTTATCACCATTCCTGCCTCCTGGAAATACTGTATTTCCTTGGTTCCTAACACCATTCACTCTCCTCCTCTCTTTAATCTCTCCTCTAGGTATAGCAGTATCTCCTTATCCCCAGTTTTTCTTTGCAGTTTCAGTTACTTGTGGCCAACCATGATCTGAGAATATTAAATGGAAAGTTCCATAAATGAAGAATTCATAAGTTATAAGTTGTGAGTCATTCTTAGTAGCTTGATGAACTCTTGTGCCATCCTGCCTGGGATGTGAATCATCCCTTTGTTCAGCATATCCACATTGGATATGCAGGAGGCAGGTCTCGGTTATCACCGTCTTGGTTATCAGATTGACTGTCAATGTACAACAGTGCTTGTGTTCAAGGAACCCTTATTTTACTTCATAATGACCTCAGTGTGCAAGAGTAATGATGGTGGCCTGTTGTTATAATTGCTCTCCTTTATTTATTTATTTTTATTATTAATTTTTTTTTGAGATGGAGTCTTGCTCTGTTGCCCAGGCTGGAGTGCAGTGGCTCCATCTCGGCTCACTGCAAGCTCCGCCTCCTGGGTTCATGCCATTCTCCTGCCTCAGCCTCCTGAGTAGCTGGGACTACAGGCATCTGCCACCACACCTGGCTAATACTTTATATTTTTAGTAGAGACAGGGTTTCGCCATGTTAACCAGGATGGTCTCAATCTCCTGACCTTGTGATCCGCCTGGCTCGGCCTCTCAAAGTGCTGGGATTACAGACATGAGCCACTGCACCTGGCCTGCTCTACTTTATTATAAAGTATTGTTGTTAAGTTCTTCCTCTGCCTAATTTAGAAACTAAACTTTATCATAGGTATGTATATATAGGAAAAAACAGTATATATAGGGTTCAGTATTATCTGTGGTTTCGGGCGTCCATTGGTGGACAAGAGGGGACTACTGTACTGCTTTTCAGTTTTCTTTGGGCTCTCATCACTCAGGGTTTTAATCTTGTTTTCTTACTCTAGTTAGGCTACTTGTATGGACCTACCTTTCTAGCTTGATTCACTGTCTTTATGCAGGAGATTCTAAAATATGTATGTCTACCCTTGATTTTTTTTTCAGCTGAATATCATACTAGCTACTAGAAACAGCCATTTGAATATGTCAACGGTATTCAACCTGATAGTCTAAAATTGAACTCTTCACTTCTCTCACCCTACCCTTGCCACCCTCTCTGTTCCATATCAACAAATAGCACAGTTATGTACCCAGTAGCTAAGGCCAGACTTACGTGTGTTGTTCATTCTTTTTTTTCTTCTCCCTTACCTCATGCATATAGTAAATCACAAAGGCTTATTGATTCTACCTGCTAAGTATCTCTCAAATCCATTTAATTAGTCCTACCTTACTGATGCTCTCCTTATTATTTCTTTCTTGGATTACTGCAACAATTGCCCTTCCTAGTTCAATATGTTCATGTGGTGGTAATTCCTCTAAAACATTTATGTCCTGGCTTCTAACTGTTCACTGAACAACTTATCATTGTCTTCAAAATTAAGTCCAAGTCCTTCCCGTGACTTTTACTACTCTAAGTAACGGCCCCAGCTTATCTCATTATTCTGCTCTTTTGTAATTTTTGCCCAAAGGCTAAGTTCCATCCAAAGTGAACTTCTTTTAGTTCTATGAAGAGGACTTTCTTTTTCAAACCTCTAGGTCTTGATATAAACCCCTTCAGCCCCTACCCTCCACGCCTTCACTGCCTATACCCTGGCAAGCTCATACTTATTCAGGTCTCTGCTTAGACATCATTTCCTCTGGGAAAACTTTCCTAACGCCTTAAGGTCAGGTAAAATGTTTCTTCTGTGTGTTCACATGGAACCATGTGTCACTCACATCATAACATGTAGCACACCATGTCCCTCCCACCTCCAGTACTCTAGATGAAAATTATTGTTTATGTGGCAAGAACACTTAACATGAGATCTGTCCTCTTAACAAATTTTAAAATATACAATGCATTATTGTTAACTGTAGGCACAATGTTGTATAGCAGATGTCTAGAACCTAATCATCTTGAATAACGAAAACCTTATACTCATTGATTAGTAACTTCTCAGTTCCCCATCCCTCCAGCCCCTGGCAACCACTACTGCACTCCCTGCTTTTATGTGTTTGAATATTTTAGATACCTCATATAAGTGGAATCAAGTTTTTTTATTTGCCAGTTCTTAATTGGATTATTGGCTTCAGGGTGGAGCCCTTGGAGGAACAGGGCCAGGATAACATGCATTGTTAGGGCCTAATAGGCACAGCTGAAGGCAAAGACAAATCCCCAAAATTAAGGGTCCCATTTTATACTGGATCTTAGATCCCCAACAGGAAGGAGATACTATGGGAGAAGACAGCACATATCATGCATTTCATAATAAGGCAACCCAAAGCCAATCAACTTATTTTGTAATCAGCCCATCCCCCATGGGAATCTCATCTCTTAGTGTGGGGGGTGGGGATGTTTCTGTGTCCAGAGTTGGTTCCTTCCGGTGGGTTCTTCATCTCACTGACTTCAAGAATGAAGCCGTGGACCTTTGCGGTGAGTGTTACAGCTCTTAAAGGTGGCATGGACCCAAAGAGTGAGCAGCAGCAGGATTTATTGTGAAGAGTGAAAGAACAAAGTTTCCACAGCATGGAAGGGGATGCAAGTGGGTTGCCGCTGGTGGCTGGGGTGGCCAGCTTTTATTTCCTTATTTGTCCCTGCTCACGTCCTGCTGATTGGTCTGTTTTACAGAGTGCTGATTGGTCCATTTTACAGAGCGCTGATTGGTCCATTTTACAGTGTGCTGATTGGTCCATTTTACAAACCTCTAGGTAGCCACAGAGTGCTGATTGGTGCGTTTTTACAGAGCACAGATTGGTGGATTTTACAAACCTCTAGCTAGCTACAGAGCGCTGATGGCTGTGTTTTTACAGAGCACAGATCGGTACATTTTACAAACCTCTAGCTAGGTACAGAGCACTGATTGGTACATTTTACAAACCTCTTGTAAGACAGAAAAGTTCTCCAAGTCCCCACTTGACCCAGGAAGTCCAGCTGGCTTCACCTCTCATTTGCATATCTTTCAGGTGACCAAGAGCATGCTTCTGTGATTCAAATGTACAAAGAGTTAAGTATCCCTCCTTAACTATTAGTTATCTTTTAAAGTATATTTCCTACCTAGTTGTTACATATCAAAGCTCTCATAATATGAAGTAATTTGATACCCCCAAAACTAAAAACTTAGATAACACAGTGTAAAACAGAACAGAGCCTATGATTTTGAGAGGGAACTCTCTGCTTTTAATTCCTAGGGTTTCATGAAGAAAAAAGGTTTTTTTCTGAAAACAGGTTTTTTCCCAAAATAGGGTCTGTGACACCTCCTTTGTTTTTCCCAAGGAGTCCCAGGCTACCAGAATTTATCTTAAGGCCTCTCATGTGTGCTTTAAGAGTGGCAAGACAAAAAATGGAGAAAAATAATTCAGTCGACTGAGAAGGAGAAAAAAATTTCCAGAAAAATAAGATTCAAGAAGAGAAAAATGTAAAGGCCTTTTAAATATACTTGTAACTTGGATATCCACTTTTAATTAAGCTGAGCACTCTTTAAGAAAATCCTTCTAAATCCCTTGTTACTTGACTTTAGCCACACCAAGCAGTTAAGATTTTCGGCTTTTGAACTTTACAAAGAGTAACCTCACAGGTGAAACCAAGAAGTCTTAATTAGGTTATGACTTAACTGCGAGTGTACAAGGAATTTTCAAAGGGGTGATAAGCAGCTTTTGAAACTGTCATTGCATTTGGTTGAAAGTGTGAGACAAGATCAGCAGCTCTTTGCAATGGCATGTAATTTCAGATTATCATATACTTACTGTTGCAAGAGCCTGGTATTCAAAGCTGCTACAGCAATTTGGGGTTCTTGGCTTTGGACTGGTTTCCCAGATGTTATAATTCTTTCTGGGACACTTATTTAGAAGTCTACTGTCAAGGAAGCCACATGTGAACTTCTTTGACTATTCCTAAATCAGGATCATAACCCATTTTCATATGCCACATTATAGTGACTTTAAAATCTTTTAAGTAGAAATGTTTGCTTGGGTAGTGAGACTTTTTAGAAGCAAAAATACTATTTTGTATCTTTTTTGTCAGTTTAGATTATGTTAAACAAGAAGTCTTTTGGATTATACCAGAATTTACTTGGCTCTTTCTGCAAAACTTCTCTAGTCATCAGACCATAGAAAGAGGGCTTGATTAAATTGAATCAAGTAACTTTTTCTATACCCTTCAGTGATTTGACTTTAAGCCACAGTTGGAAGAGAACAGTTTCCTGCCTTTGTCAGGTTCTGGAAAGATTTATTTGTTTCACTACCTATTTCTTCACTTGACACAGAGTAGTGGCACGTTATTGTTTTTTCTTGGAGACTGCAGTGTCTAGAGAAACTCTAATTGTACTTCTCTAGTTGAATCCCAATATTAAAGTCTTTTAAGTATTTTATAAAGGCTTTTAAGTATTATAAAGGCTTTAGCATTTTAAAATCTGACTTTATTCAGAAAACTTTTCCTTTTATAGGAGAATATTAATATTATTTATTTAAAATGAAGGGATATATAGCTGGGAATTATCCTTTAGAAAGTATGTTTTGTAAAGGACTTGTTCTATTTCTGAGTTCTTGTTTCTTTCACATGTTTTAAGAAAGTGCTGAATGATTGATTAAATAAACTTTAGATCGGTTAACACCTGATAGTGAGAAGACTGCTCCTTGGAATTTCTGTTTTAATTTCTCTTTATCCTCTTGTCTAATAACTATGATAGGCAAAATTTATGATCTGTCTCTCTATCTCAACTTACCTTGTTCCAGATGTACATTTTTGATGTCTGTTATTCCAGTTATCATGTATTTAATATAATTTCCTCATTTGCTACAACATGGAAATAGGCTTTTTTACTAAAAATTATAAAGTAATTATGTCTTCTATGTTTATATTCTTAATAATATTGACATATCTGTTAATAATATGTAATGCTAATGAATAATTTAGTTTCCTTAGTGATAGTTTCCATGATGTTATAACTAACATCCCTACCTATGAAAATGTAGGGAGCTGTCTGAAGCCCAGGAAGGTCAGGAAGGTGTTAAGAACCAGGACAATGTATTTAACCTATCACAATCAAAATGCCATTCAGCCTTTGCCCTCAATATTTGACAGCAAATGAATTTGTCATTTTCTCACAAATATCCTGCCTTGAGCTACCACTTGTCTGCCTTGTAACTCATCTTTTCCATGACCTAGTTCTTAACCTGGTTTTTGTCTTTAAGTTGTCACTATAAAATCTCTAACTGGGAGATATCTTTGGTTGCATTGTTCCTCTTATTAGTCTCAACACCTCATATTTATTATTATATCAAAGGGTATGGTCAGGAAGACAAATTGTATTTGCTAGAGGAAAAATAAAATTAGTT